>NC_000020.11:7036031-7187547 GCF_000001405.40 Homo sapiens
GAGACATTTCTCCTTTTTTTCCTCTTCTCCTCTTCTCTCCTTTCCTATTTTTTTCTCTTCTCTTCTCCTTTACCATACTCCTCTCCTCTCTTTTTTGTTTTTTGTCCTCTGATCTCTTCTCTTCTCCTATATTCTCAAATTCTCAAAATTTATTTGTGGATAACCTCATCCACATTTGTGGTTTCAAAAAACATTATAGGTAGATGCCATAAGAGCTAAGACTTGTGTCCTTTAATGTTATTAATGTCCCACTGTCTAATGCAATGCCTGGAAAATAGTGAATTCTTGGATTATTCTTCTCAGACTGCTGTAACCAAATGCCGTAGACTTCGTGGCTTAAAAAAGAATTTATTTCTTACAGTTTTGGAGACTGTGAAGTGTAATATCAAGGTGCCAGGAAGATAGCTTCCATTCTGATGCCTCTTCTCCTAGCTTGCGGGCAGCCACCATTTCGCTGAGTGCTTACAAAACTTCTTTATTCAGGCACAAAGAGAAAGAGAACAATTTGTCTGGTATCTCTTTATATGAGGGCACTAATTCAGTCAGGTCATTGTCTTGACCTCATGACCTCATTTAACCCTAATTGCCTCCCAAAGGCCTGATCTCCAAATGCCATCACATTGGAGACTAGGGCTTCAAAGTATAAACTTTGGGGGGACACAAACAGTACAAATACAGTTCCCCATAAAGGGTTTTGAGTAAAATACTGGTTATTTAAATTAATTAAAGTTAAATTGAAATTTGAAAATCAGTTTCCTAGTTGCAGTAGCCATGTTTCATGTGCTCAATAGCCACGTGTGGTTAGTGGACACTATTAGAGAGCACGGATACAGGCATTTCCATTATCACGGAAGTTTCTATTGCACAGAGCTGATCAAGACATTCACTTCTGGGCCGGGCTCTGTGGCTCACGCCTGTAATCCCAACACTTTGGGAGGCCGAGGTGGGCAGATCACGAGATCAGAAGTTCTAGACCAGCCTGGCCAACATGGTGAAATCCCACCTCTACTAAAAATACAAAAAATTAGCTGGGCATGGTGGTGGGTGCCTGTAATCCCAGCTATTCAGGAGGCTGAGGCAGGAGAATCGCTTGAACCCTGGAGGCGGATGTTGCAGTGAGCCGAGATTGCGCCACTGCACTCCAGTCTGTGTGACAGAGAAAGACTCCATCTTGAAAAAAAAAAAAAGATATTCACTTCCAGCTTTTTAGAACTTTACACTGTACAGAACTATCCATTAATTTACAGTCTTCTTTACTTAAATGTGTCCTCAAACATTCTCACTTGGATAGCTCAAGAAGTTCTTATCCTTTCCCTCACCACTCTCTCTAAAACAATCTGGTCCTCCTTTTGACCTCCCTTGTTTTTCTATTTTATTAGTATGTTAATGAGCTGTGCATTATCCTTGACTCCTTCCTTTTTCTCATACAATGTGTGAGCAAATCCTATCAGTAGATGTCTAACATTCCACCACTTTTCTTTATTTCCATTTTCTTTATCCTGGTTCAAGTCATCATCATCCTTTTCTGGACTATTCTGGTCATTTCCTATCATTTGCCTGATTTCGCTTTTGCCTACTCCAATAAAATTTTCCACCCAGAACTCAAAGTGTTCTTCTAAAAAGGCAAATCAGATTATAACTTTCCCTTGATGAAATATTTTTTCAACCACATTCAACAGAAAACCAAAACCATCAGCCTGGTCCCTACCTACATCTCCCACCTTATCTCCAGCCATTCTTCTCCTTGATCACTGCCTCCAATCCCACCTGCGGTCTCTCATGTATGTTACTTCTGACTAGGGTCTTCTCTCATTCTTTTCTTGGCTAGATCCTGCTCATCCTTTTCATTTCACTTAACTGTGACCCCAAGATACCTCCTTTGACTGCTGAACAATTCCTTCTCTTTTCTCTGTCAAATAATTCCAAATTCTATCAATCTGTAATATTTTATGAATATATTTATAGCCTTGTTCAGTTTCTCCCTTCCTTCCTATGTATCCTACTTTGAGGTAAGGAACCTATCTTCTCACTGTTTTATTCCTAGTATTTAATGCAGTGCCTGACAGATAGCAAATTCTCAGCAAAAGTTTTTGAACAAACCATTGAATGAATGTGTTTTGCCTTATGAACTAATGAATCAGTGATGAATAAGAGACTGCAGCAATGTCTTACTATGTTAATCAGTGGATCTCAGGAATGCGTTTTGTCAGTGTGAGACACAGCCAATCAGAGAACCACAAAACATCCAGAAAATGACACAGCAGACTTTCACATTGAATACAGGATGCATCCGATGGCTTTTTTTCATGAAAAAAAAATTGCCTGATAATTTTTGGCCAAGCTCAAAACAATGTGAGTGACTGAAAATAACTCATTACACTTCAAGCATGTGAAAAATTCCACCAGTATAAGCAAAATAGTAATAAGTAAAGACCAAATACCTTAACCCAGTTCTAAATTACTCTATTTTCCATTTATATTTGCAGCCTCAACACCAGTATTTCTTCTCACAAGCCCCCTTCCAGTCATTTCAGAGCTTACTTTCATAGATGAGTAACTCACTAAAGGGAGCAATGCTCTCACCACAGACCAAGACCCTAGTGTTAAGAATAAATTTGATTGCATCAACTTTGCTTATCGTGAGATATTTGACATGATTGTTATTAAAATTGTCGACTATGCAACCCAACTACTGTGAATTTGTGCCCAGGTTCTGCCACTTCCTGAGAATGGAATAATTAATTAATCTTTCTAAATGTCATGTTTCTTTTCTGTGTAAATAGAGGTAACGTGGTGTTAATGATAGCGGTATCTATGACATACATAGAGGGATTTTTTTTGTCTTTTGTTTTTGGTTTTTTGTATGTGTATATAAATGAGAACCTAAATGTAAAGCACAGAATCAGGCATATAGTCAATGCTCTATAAATGTTAGCTTTAAAATAAGAGGAAATAAAATAAAAGCACTCTCTTCTGTTTGGATCATTAGAAGAAAAAATAAAGATTATTGGGAGATGGTGCATTTTTAATAGAAAATAATTATTTAGCCTACAAATAAACCTGTATAGAAAACTTTATGCAACCAATACTAATTGTGGAATGTTAGTTTAGAAGATACAGTTTGTGTCATCTAAGAAGTTTTGGCATTAATTTGTTTGTTTCCTACTACACACCCTTAAGTAAACATATAGAATTCTCTTTTAAAATTTCAGAGGCTAGGAGTGGTATGGGTACGTGTGTGTTGGGGGGATGAAGAAAGATTGGTCAGTGGGCACAAGCATAAAGTTAGATTAAAAAAAGAAATAAGTTCTAATGTTCCATAGCAGAGTAAGGTGACCATAGTTAACAACAACGTATTGTATATTTCAAAACAGTTAGAAGTCTTGAAATATCCTCAACACATAGAAATGATAAATGCTGAAGGTGCTGAGTATCAGAAATACTCCAACTTGATTATTACACATTCTCTATGCATGTAACAAAACCTCATATGTACCCCATTCATATGTACAGGTATTTTGTGTGTGTGTGTGTGTGTGTGTGTGTGTGTGTGTGTGTGTGTGTATAAAATATTCCAGTTTTGGTAGTGGAGAAAAAAGATAACTTCTCTCTGTTTCTTTTAGTTTATACCCTAGCATTGTTTAAATACAAATTATAAATAATTAATTTGACTTACTCTATGAATAAAAAAGTATATTTTATACTGCTACCAACGATCTTTGAAAAATATGACTTTTGTGTTGACAAAGTCCTTTTCTCAGTTCGGCTCTCTTTTGAATATCTCAGCATGCAATTTAAGAAATGGTGATTTAAGTGCAGTTTTTGAGGTTTTTGTTTCCTTTTAAAAATGTGTTTTGATCTGCTCTTGAAAAGTCCTAAGTACTGTTTTTATTTTCCTTCCCTCTTGAGGCCCATGGGTGACTTAGATGTAAAAGCCAATACAGCTTTCATTATGGATAGACAGCAGTTCTGAATAATCCTCAAGTTGTTTTTGTTTTTCAGCTATTAACAGCATTTTTTGTTGGGGGAGGTGGGGACTGTGGGGGTGCCCTTCCTGGACAATGTATGCTGTTGATCCTCATTTCTGCTTTCTACCCATTAGATGCCAGTAGCACCTCTCCTAGTTCTGACAACCAAAAATATCTTCAGACTATGTCAATATTCCTAGCATGGGGGGTGGCCAAATGCCCTCCATTAAAAGTCATGGTCCTAAAGGATATTCTTCTAAGAGAAACTAGTCTGAGATAAAAAGTTTATTTTCTCTGTCAGAGGCCAGCTTAAAACTTGACTTTCTCCTCCAAGACTTTTATGACTAACTAACTCACCGTTCTTTCATTCTCTATTTAGCACCTTTAACCTTCTTTTTACATTTATGTAAATACTTATCAGGCTATTGTTGTTGCTGGATATTATTATTTAATATTATTTATCCTATTGACCTCCTAACTTTTTGGAGGTCAGGAGCTATTAAATATTCATTTTATCTAATTTTATAAAGAAGGTAGGCAGTGAGGCAAATCTTTATTTAAGTATCAAATGTTAAGTGTAAAAATATCCACAAAAGATCTTTGCTCAGCTCACTGAGGGAGAACTTATAAACCAGCATGCAAAATATTGTCGAACCAGATTCTTTCAATTTTTACCCCTTTAACTATGGAAGTTGGTTAATTTTATTAGACCAGTATGGTTGCTTTTCACTCACATCGAGTATGCTTTGGAAAGGTTTAATATTAGTACAGCCACCTATATAATTTCAATAAAAAAAAATAGATGTGTTGATGTTGTTTTGAAGTCAAGTACAATAGATTGTGTCTGAGAGTGAGCAGAGGTTATAGGTTTGGAACCCGGTCTTAATTTGGGAAGTTAAATTATACAGCTCTGGAAGTAGGAGTAGGTAATGGAAAGAAAAGCACACTTAAAATATGAAAGACCTTGGATGCGATTCTTCCCTGTTCTGCCCTGGGAAGTCCCTCTGAAGTCAAAGGGAGGTCCCTGAACCCAGCCGGGACAGGAGCAACCTCGAGACTTGCATGAAGACATCCACTTGGATGGCTGTTAAGTGGGGCTAGTGAACTCATTCCTAATAACCAGTCAACTCCTTTTAGTTCATTTTCCAAGGCAAGATTAGATCATGTTGGAAAACCTCACTAAATAACCTTATAAAAAGAGATGAACTCACTCCCAATTTTCATCAGGTTCTGAAGCAAAACCATAAAAACCACTATCCCACCTCAGGCTACTGGAAACAAATTTGCATTTCATTCTCAGGCACAGAACTATCTCTAGGCAACTATTTCTGTGAGAGGAGTTCCTGTGTTTTTTACTTTCTTCAGAAACTCACCTTGTTGGACACTTGTGCAGGTGACCTATACGGCCTGCTGCCACACAGGCCAGATGAAGCTTAAAAGCAGCTCAGGGAATATAGGTTCCTAGTTGTGAAAAGAGTCATAGCTCTTCAAACTCTGTCTTCCAATAAATAATTGAGATGATTTGGTTACATTACAGTGAGTCTTCAGTTAGTCCATATGCCAGGACTTTTTATTATTTGAGAAGTAATAGTAACTGTTTTCCAATGGACAGAAACTTTTTGTAAACGTAGCCTTTCCTTAATTTACTAGGCAAGTGGTTGAGGTGGTGAAGGCTCTTGCTTGCTAATTGTCAAAAGGGCGAGTGAATCTCACAAGCAAAGAGCATGTGGCTAGGCAGCCATAGGTTTTTATTCATGTTAACGGTACTTTATTGAAATTTGACTTACATTGAGTAAAATGCATACATTTTACATATACAGCTTGATGGATGCTGAAAAATGTACATCTTTGTCACTCAGATCACCAGAAACATTTCACAATCCCAGAAACTTCTTTTGTACCCTTTCTGATCCATGCCCTCTTTCCTTCCAAAGTCAACTGAGACTCTGAATTTTTATTAACATAAATTAGTTTATTTATTTTTCTTGAATTTTATACATATGGAATTAAATATTACATACCTTTTTTTCTTTTTTTGGTCTGGGTTCTTTGGTTCAGCATAATATTTGTGAGATTTATCTACACCACTATGTGTTTTGATTGTCCTTGTTTATTGCTGATTTCATTCACACAATTTTGCTGTATGACTATACCATTGTGTAAAATTCATGTATATAATTTTTGTATAAATGAAATTTCCTGTGAATTAAATTTATGTTATGACCAGTAGAAGCAGTTCCACAGATAAAATGCTGTGTCCTTCTCAGTACATCATATTAGAGGCTCTGGATGCTTGTTTTTTCAAATATTGGTGATGATCACTTTCATCATTTGTTTAAGGTGGTAACTGTCATGTTTCTTTGCATTAAAATTACTATTTTCCCATTGTGGGGAAGTTTGTACAATTTTTATATAAATGAATTTCACACAATGGTATATTCATAACTAGTATGCCACAATTAGTTTATCTCTTTGTCTACCATTGGTCATTTGAGGGTTTTTTTTTTTTTTGGTTTGGGGGCTCTTACAAATAGTGCTGCTGTAATTATTCGTGTACAAGTCAATTTGTGAAATATATGCACTCATTTCTTCAGGGTAAATCCCTGGAGGTGCAATGACAGGTCATAGGGTAAGTGTATGCTTAACATTAGTAGAAACTTCCAAACAGTTTTCTGAAGTGATTGTATTATTTTATATTCTCAAATCCATAATTTAGAAGAATGTGACCTGCTTCATATCTTGGCCAACACATGGCATTGTCAATTTCTTTTTGATGGGCATACGTAGTGATTTAACAAGCCTCCAGTGCCCATTCCATTCAAGACAGTAGTATCCATGGACAAAGAAGGAGACTGCTAAAGGAATTTAAAAAAATGTATTTATATGAGAGATAGCCTCAATTTGAGATGAATACATAGTATCTCTTTACCACTAAATATTTGCATATATTTCCTAAAACTAGGATATTCTTTAACACAATTACAGTATAATAATCAAAATAAAGAAATCATTATTAATTTAATAGTAGTTTCTAGTATACAGAGCTTATTCAAATCTTTTCATCTGCTTTAACAATATCCTTTATTGCAAAGTACATGAGTTTTTCTTATCCAGGATCCAATCCAGGAGAGATCATTATAGTGATTGGTTCTGTCTCTTTTTCTTTAATATAGAACAATTCTATTTTTCTTTTATCACCTTGGAATCTTTGGGGAATATGGACCAGTTGCTTGATAGAATGTCTCTCAATTTGGTTTTGCCTAACGTGCCCTCTTAATTAAATTTGTGTGATAATTGTGGAAGTAGTTCCATAGCTAGAATGCTGTGTTATTCTCAGTATATCATATTACAGGCTCAGGATTATTATTTTTTCAACTATTGGTGATGATCACTTTCATCATTTGTTTAAGGTAGTGACTGTCAGATTTCTTTGCACTAAAGTTACTATTTTCCCTTTTTAGTTACTAAATGTCTTGAAAGGTGGGACTTGAGACCATAGGAATATCTATGGTCTATATCTATTCAACACCCAGTAGACTTAGCACTCACTGTTGATATTTTTCTGAAGCAATTTTTGCTAAATTGTTTGACACATTTTGAGCCTCTATATCTATCGTATCTTCTGCATTTCTTACTTGGAATTTTACTCTAAGGAAGGGTTCTTTCTTCCCTACCATTTATTTGTTTATTTGTTTATTTTTGTATGAACTCATAGATTTTTATTTTATGCTATGGATTATGACTTTTACTATCATTATTTCTTTTGATGATCAAATTTTCCTAGATCCTTTAAAGATTTTATCGTTGAAATCATTGTGACATCAGATACTTGCATTAAAATGTCATCATTAGATGCTGGGTAGCTATGTTATTTCATTGAATGACAAACAGATCAATACATGATATATATATTGAGAAAAATAGGTTAAATATAGATATTCTAGTATTCTATTTAAATAGACCTTGTTATGTAGAATAATGCCCCTACCCCAAAGATATCTATGCCTTAATATCCTAAGCCTGGGAACATGTTAACATTACATGGAAATAGAGACTTTGCAGATGGAATTAAATTTGGTAATCAGCTCATCTCAGAAAAGAGAGATTATTCTGGATTATTCAGGAGAGAAAATGCAATTACTTCAGCCCTTAAAAGCAGAAGAGGAAGAGGTCAAAGAGTCAGAGGGAGATAAGGTAGGAGGATGAATCAACTTGCCATCATTACTGGCTTTGAAGATGAAGGCAGACACAAGCCAAATAAGCAGGTGGCCTCTAAGAAGCTAGGGATAGCCCTCAGTTGATGGTCAACCAGGAAATGGGGACCTCAGACCTACAACCAAAAGGAACAGGCTTCTGTCATCAAGTTGAATGAGAAAGGAGACAGATTCTTCCCTAGAGCCTCCAGAAAGGATCATAGCTTTGCCAACACCTTGATTACAACCCCATGATACCACACCAGACTTCTCACCTACAGAACTGAAAAATAACACATTTATTTTAAGCCAATAAATTTGTGATAATTCTTATAACAGCAATAGAAAACTGATACATAAGACTGTGTATGTGTATGAGCTATGGTATTTCTTTCTTTTTTTTGAGACGGAGTTTCACTCTTGTTGCCCAGGCTATAGTGCAATGGCACCATCTTGGGTCACTGCAACCTCTGTCTCCCAGGTTCAAGTGATTCTCATGCCTCAGCCTCCCGCGTAGCTGGGATTACAGGTATGCGCCACCACACCCGGTAATTTTGTACTTTTAGTACAGACCGGGTTTCTCCATGTTGGTCAGGCTGGTCTTGAACTCCCGATCTCAGGTGATCTGCCTGCCTCAGCCTCCCAAAGTGCTGGGATTACAGGCATGAGCCACCGCACCCGGCCTATTGAGTGGTGGCTCATGAGTGTGTATATGAGTATATGAGTGTGTATTTCTACACACTATTATGTATTTTCTCAGTCTCATTCTTTTACTTTGTCTCTCATTCTCTGCATCTCTTTACCTCTTTTTTTGTTTCAGTCCCTATTAGTATTCAGTCTCTTTCCATTAGCATCTATTCCATTAGTATTACAAAGACTGCAATTAATTTGCACCAACCTAATGCTATGTTTTGCTTCTCTCTCTCCCTCTCTCTTTATCCACATAATATATTCTACTTGTGGGGCATAATAAGTAATGTAAACTCTTTGTGTGCAAACCAAGAAGATAGTAACGCAGTAGTGGAATGTCAGTGATTTGAATTAACACTGGCCAATCTTTGAACTTTTGAAAGCTGGCCACCTAACCTTTCTGCTTTTTTCCAATTTGTTTTTGCTGCTCCTTTAGTGGAATCACCTAAAATGGTTTTTACTTGAGTATTACATAAAATATCTCCATAGAGCAACTTTTCCAAGCCACACATAACATTCACATACTTTTCTCAAAAGGCTTTAATATAGCAATCAGTCTTCTTAAAAAAATAGCGTATTTCCCCCCATAACATGGCTTCATTCCTCAAGCTTGTGGTAAACATGAATAGGCTGGAACAGGTTTAAGTGCTTAATGGTACCCTAGACACAAGTGAATATTTTCATTTCTAGGTGAGATTGGTTGGTTGGGAAGATATCTGTAAATTTGTATAATTACTATATTCTGGAGAAGTTGTGGTTAAATTTTATTTTCATAAATAAAACCACATTTTAGAGTGATGACTGGAGTTTGCTGTATGAAAAAATCTTATGGTGAATTGTTTGTTAATCATCCGTTTATAATGTGCTTTGTGTGTATATTATCTTCTCTGTGGATAAATCTGGGCTATCATTATTGGGTTTATTTAAAGTAGACCACAACTGTACTTTTGAAATTTGTAAGAGATATAATTTGTAAGAGATATTATTTTCAGTGACCTGTTGAAGTATTAAGCAGATGTTAAAAATGAAGAGAGTTTAAATTTACCTTTCAAATTAAGAAAATATATTTAATCATCACTTTTAACTTGCAAACATTGTTCCAAAGATTTCTGTAAGTCTCTAATCACAATGAAAGTTAAAAAAAAAAAAAAGATAATTTATTATTCTCTTCTTTCTGGTCCTTGTTCATCTGGCCTTTTGTCATGCAACTGAAATCATGTGACTTTGACTTCAGTTTTCACTTTTGCTATATTACTGCAACAGGTCAATATAAACAAAACAACTATGAACTGCATTCATGTGATGTTGATACTCTTCAAATTGTTGTCTGTACTTTTCATTCTTCAGTTATTTATCATGGTATATTTCATATTGAAAGTTTTTATTAAATGGGAAAGTTATGGCCTTTGAGCCCCTGAGAATTTCAAAATTCGAAGCTGCTGGGTCAAAGAGATAAGCCTGTTGGCAGAAATCTATAAGTCATTATACAGTCTATAATAGAGACATAGAAAAAATCACAATGGGAACATAAAGGAGGAAAACTCAGCTTGGGGAAGAGAAACGTAATCTTAGGAGATATCAGTTCAACTGATTCTTCAAGCAGATACAGAATTTTACGTGGTGAAAATCGGGAAAGAGGTGGGAGTGCATGGCAGAAGGAATAACATATGCTAAAGTAGAGATGAGTAAAAGACAATATCATAATTGCAAACAGTAGTTTGAAGTCACTGACCACAGAGCTTACTATGGAGGTATAGAAATTATAAAAGGTAGGCATTTTACTTGTGTTTTCTGAACAGTCCACACAGACTCATGTCATTAGCTCATTTAGCACAGTCTAAATTTCCTGATTAGTATTCTTTCAATTTCCCGTGGTACATGCTCATGGGAAATAGGTGTACAGTATATTTTAGTTTGTTATAGGTAAAACCTTGGAGCAATGCACCTGTTTTATCATCCTGCATCTACCCATAGTCAGAAAGATTGACTTGTAATTTACACAAAATATAAGTTAAACTTAGCCTCTCACTTTGTTGTCACATCTTGGTTGCTTTCTAGCAAGAGCACCTGGACTGTGGTTTCTCTGTAGTTTCTCCTTTATGTTAGTTTGATTTATCGGTCTTGATCAAATCTTATTATTTCAGTCTTGCACTGTGTGATGGTAAATCTGGTAAGTTATTTTGTATCAAAGTATTTGTAATTTAAAGTGGCCTAAGGGGGTTCCAACATGTGTCAAATAAAGTTTAACTTTTATAGTAACTAGAGACTTTAATGAATGTTTTAAGTTAGAGGATTGATTGTTCAAAGTTAGATAAGACAAGCTAAATAAAGATATCTAGGGGAAAACAAAGTGGTCTTTTAAATTGCATTAATAGGTTCATTCTAGTAGGTCCTTCTGAGATAGATTGGGCAAGTAAGCAGGAAAAGAACTTCCAGCAAGCGCATCTGGGTTTGAAGTCAGGACTTGCATTTAATCCTGATGATGTTACTTTTGTTACAGCACCTCTGTACCAAACAGAGAGAGGCTGGGAGAGAAGTCCATTCCTGCAGGGAGAAGTGTTGTATGACTGACTCTAGAATTCTTGGTATATGGTGATAATAAAAAGCAGGAAGATTCTTTTTTGTTGTTGTTTGTTTGTTTTTTGTTTTTTTGAGACAGAGTCTCACTCTGTCCCCCGGGCTGGAGTGCAGTGGCGGGATCTCCGCTCACTGCAAGCTCCGCCTCCCGGGTTCACGCCATTCTCTTGCCTCAGCCTCCCGAGTAGCTGGGACTACAGACGCCTGCCACCACGCCCGGCTAATTTTTTGTATTTTTAGTAGAGACGGGGTTTCACGTGTTAGCCAGGGTGGTCTCGATCTCCTGACCTCGTGATCCGCCCTCCTCGGCCTCCCGAAGTGCTGGGATTACAGGCTTGAGCCACCGTGCCCAGGCTAAAAGCAGGAAGATTCTTATTTGGTTTTATTATTGCTTTTTAAGTGCTTTGAATATAATTTATCTCTGCCTGCTCCAGGGTGGACAGCTCCTACATCTTCTCACCCTTGTATGCTACTGGTCTTTTATATCAAGACATAGAACTATTTTCTCAGCCTTTCACTGGGATAACCTTGTGATTTGTTTTGATCAGAGGGATGTCTGAGAAGTGACACGGTGCCATTTCTGAGCCTAGACCTTAGGAGTTCTTGCGTGTTTCTCTCCTTTCCAGTAAACTTCTATTTTTGCCTCCAATAGGCTATCCTGTTGGAGGATGAGACTATATGGAATAGAAAATAGCTATCCAAACTCAGGCCATCCTAGACCATCCAACCCACAGTCAACCTGGCTGTAGATCACAGACACGTGCATGAGCCCAGATAAGATGAGGAGAACCACCCAGCTAAGCCCAGCCCAAATTGTTGACCCACAGAAATTATAAACTAAAGAAATGGGTGTTGTTTTAAGCCACTAAGTTTTGGGATGGATTATTATTTGGCAAAAGCTAATATATCCCTTAACCTCTCAACATCTTAGTTTTCTCAGTCAAAATGAAAATGAAGAGGCAATAAATCAACTAAGTAAGTCTTTACAGATTTACTACATGGATTAAGAACAAAATTATATTACTTAATGAATAAAATGTATTTTTAACTTTTTGTCATCAGTTTTATTAATGGAAATATTTTTTCATAGAAATCACCAAAAATAAGGAACAATATGTTTTAGTTTCTTTTCTGTTGCTGTAACTAAATATCACAGATTGGATCATTTGTAATGAATATAAATTTATTCCTGTGGAACAGCTATGGAGTCTGGAAAGTCCAAGATCCTGGTGATGGCATCTGACAAGGACCTTCTTGCTGTATCATAGCAGGGCAGAGGCATGGTAGAAGGGCAAAGGAACAGATGACGGAAAGACAAAGGGCAAGAGAGAAACAGCAGGGGATCAAACTTGTCCTTTTATAAGGAACCCACCCTTGTGATAACAAATGCACCCATGTAATTGTAGCATAAATCATTCATGCATATAATCACCTCTTAAATGCCCCACCTTTTAATACTGCTACAATGGCTATTAAATTTCAATAGAATGCAGGAAGGGACAAGTATTCAAACCATAGAATTATATTAATAAATCTTGTCTAGCTTCCTATTCTCAACAATTTTTATTAAGGTATAATTTACATACAGTAAATCTTACTCTTATTAATGTATAGTTCTTTGGATTTTGGCAAATATACATAGCCATGTAACCAACTGCACAATCAAGACTTATTACTGCTCAATCATGCTAAAAATTATTCATACCTTTTGTGGTCTCATCCCTTCCCTCTACCCCCAAACTCTGTCAACCAGTAATCTTTATTTCATCCTTACAGTTTTCTGCTTTTCAGAGTGTGCAATCAATAGATTTCCAGTCTTTTGAGCCTGACTTCTTTTCCTTAGCATAATGCATCTGCATTTAGTCATGTTCTTTTTAATCAATCATTCATCCTTTATATTACTGAGTATTATTTCATTGTATAGATATACAATTTGTTGATTTGCTCTCCAGCTGGTGGATATTTGGTTGTTTACAATTTGAGTGATTCCAGATGAAGCCATAAACATTCATGTAGAAGCATTTTATGTGATCAAAAGGTTGAATTTTACTTTTTTAAATACCTAGGACCGGAGTTACTGAGCAGATGGTAAATGTATATTTATTTTGATAAAATATGTCTAAATTGTTTTACATAGTGGTTGTATTATTTTGCATTCCAGTCAGCACTGTGTGTTTTCCAGTTGCTTTGTGTCTTTGATGGCATTTGGTATCGTCATTTTTGAAGATTTTATTTTAGCCATTCTGATAAAGTAATGGTTTCTGATTGTGGTTTCAATTTTACCTAATTACTAATGATGTACTTCCTAATATACGTATTTGCCATACACCTACCTTATGTTATGAAGTGCTTCTTCAAATCTTTGCTTATTTTATATTAGGTTGTTAATTGTATTGGGTTTTAATTGTTCTTTATATATTCTGGAACCAATTTTTTAAAATCAGATATGTAATTTGCATATAGTCTTTGTATTTTTCATTCTAGCATTTCTTAGTTTATAGTTAATGTAGTGGGATAAAATGAGCTTGTCATTCTTTAGTTTATTTTAGTGTAATTTTTGCTGAATGCTTTTAAAGTAATTTTTAGTTGGAATAAAATGTATTTGTGTGTGTATGTGTGTGTGTGTTTGTGTAGTTACGGTTTTGAATACACCCATATATTTTTTCCACAGTCCCTTCGGAAGGTGGAACTTAATTCCTCTCCCTTTAAGTATGGGCTGAATTTATTCTCTTTTAAATAATTTGTAAGGCAGAATTGACAATGCATGACTTTCAAGATGAGGTCACAAAATGCACTGTGGTTTCCTTTCTGCACTTTCTTGTATTATTCATTCTGGTGAAACTTAGCTGCCATTTTGTTAAGACACCAAGCATTCCTATGGCAGAGCCCCACGTAGTAAGGAACTGAGGCATCCTACCAATAGGCAAGGAGTTGAAGCCTCTAACCAACTGCCATATAAGTGAGCCATCTTGAAAGCAGACTTTCCATTGTCTGTCAAACCTTTAGGTGACTGCAGTATCAGCTGTCATCTTGCCTGAAATTTCATGAGAGATCTTGAGCTGCCATGGTCACTCAACTAAGCTACTACCAGAGTTTTAACCCTCCAGATATTAAGTACTTGATGTTGTAAGCAGCTAAGTTTTGGAACCATTTGTTACATAGTGATAAATTATATATATACACATATATGTGTGTATTTTATATATCATATATAATATTCACATATAAAATTAATGTCCATACAATTTTTACATGGTAAATACACCCTCGTAAATCTACCAGATTAGGAAATATCATAGCACAAGAATATCAGAATGCTATCTGACCTTTCCCAGTAATTATCCACACTATTCCTTATTAATGACTACTTTCTTGACAACATAATTCAGTTGCACTTGATTGTATATTTTATACAAGTAGAACCATACAGTATGGATCCCTTTGCACTGGCTTCCTTCATATAACATTATATTTCTAATAATTCTTTCAAGTTGTTTCACATAGTAGTCATTTCATTATCTCTCATTGCCATATCTTCTGCTGTGTATGTCACAATTTATGGCTACTCTGTTATTGGTGGGCATGTGTATTGTGTCCAGTTTGAGTGTCTTAGGAATAGTACTTTGCACAATTTTGTACCTGTATTTTGGTAAGCATTTCTCTATGGTACATGCCTACAAGTGGAATTGCTGGATCATGAGTTATATCTATATTATGTACACATTCAAGTAATTTTCTGCAGTGGTTATACCAGTTTATACTTCCACCAATGATGTACGTATGTTCTACTTGCTCCCCACACAAAAGATGGTCAGTGCTTTTAATTTTAACTATTCTGATGGGTATATATTATGGTTTAATTTGCATTTCCCTTATAACTAATGAAGTTGAACGTATTATTATATATCCATTTTGATTATTTGGATATCCTCTTTTGTGAAATACCTCTCTCATCAATTTTGTATTAGCTAGTCTCTTTTTCTTATAGATTGGTGGGAACTTGTATACATTCTGTATACAAGTCCTTTGTCAATTATACATATGGTATGTGTCTTTTCCTACTCTACAGCTTTCTTATTCATGCTCCTAATGGTGTGTTTTAATTATGGGAACTTCTAAATTTTAATGTAGTCTAAAATGTATTTATGTTTTTCCGTTTATGGTTAATGCATCTTGTTTAGGATAGTTTGTGTACTTTAAGATCACAAGTATAGTCTCATGTTTTCTTTTAAAAGTGTTACTGTTTTATAGTTCACATTTGGATGTAAAATCACTCAGTTATTTGTTAATTAGTGTGGTATGAAGGTCAAAATTCATTTTCTTTCATGTAAATATCCAGTTAATCCAACACAACTAATTGAAAAGACTATCCTCTCCCCACTACTATGCAGTACTGCCTTTGTCTTACTCAAGTGTCCATGTAGATGTGTGTCTGTTTCTGGGTGCTCTGTTATATTATCCTATTTGTATATGGTTGTGCCACTACCGCACCATTTTATGTATTGTAGCTGAATAATATCCTTAAATCTAGTAGTGTAAGGGTTTCAAATATGCTCTTCTACAAATTTCCTTTTTTTATATATCCTTGAACTTTTACATTTGAATATGCATTTTAGAATTAGTCTCTGAATATACACACAAATACATACAATCAAATAATATGAGGAAATTTTGATTAGAATTGAATTAAACCTGCAGAATAATTTGAGTATCCTAATATATTATAAGTATGGCATATTTCTCCATTTACTCTTATCTTCTTATTTCTTTTTCTGTGTAGAGTTGTTGAACAGTTTTCATTAGTATTATTCTAATTTGTTTGATTTTTAAGGCTATTATAAAAGGTATATTTTATAAACTTCATTTTAACATTTTTTGCTGATAAATTGAAAGCAATAAATTTTTTGTACATTGACCTTGTATCTGGATGTCATGATAAATTTACTTAATAATAATCATATAGTCTCTAAATAAATACAATGTTATCCTTTTTTCCCCTAATTCTTGTCTGTTTGGTTCACTGTACTTTAAGACCTCTAGCTCAATGTTGAATGGAAATGTGAATATACAACCTTTTTTTGTTGTTTTTGACCTTAGTGGAAACGTATCACTATTTTATCATTAGGTGTGTGTAAGTGGATGTTTGCTTTGAGATTTTGTATTATGTTAGGCATGTTCCTTGCATTCCTAATTTGTTAAGAGTTTTATCATGGATAAATTTTGGCTTTTATTTTTAACAATTCTGTACCTTTTGAAATGATCATGTTTTACACTTATTTTGTTAAGACATAGTTCATTGACTGATTTTTGACTGGTAAAACCCACATTCCCAGAATAAAGTCAACTTGATCATTATACATGTTTTGAATTTGGATATCACTGAATATGGATTTTTAATGTTTTATTTGAATTTTTGAATGCTTATGAGAGAGATTGGTTTGAAATTTTTCTTTCTGTAATTTACCTTAGCAGGTTTTGTTATCAAGGTTATGATGGCCTCAGAAGATAGTATCTCTCTTTATTTATTCTCTTAAAGAGTTTGAGTAAAATTCAACCTCTTACTTCCTTAAGTACTTATAAAATTTCCTGGTATAAACATCTCACCCTGAAATTTCTTTGTGGTAGGGTTTTAAAATACAGTTTCAAATTTGTAATAGATATAGAAATATTTAGATTTTTAAATTTCTCTTTAGGCAATTTTGTATATTACATTTTTCTAGGTTTTAGTAACATAAAACTTTAAATGTATTAAAATAAAACTTTCAGTAATGTGGAATCTATAGTGATATCTCCTTTTTGTTTCTGATGTTGGTGATTTATGTATTTTCTCATAATTCTTGTTGAATTTATGTCTTTTCAAAGAAACTTTTTTGTGGTATAATCATTTTCTATTTCATTAATTTTCACTTTTATATTTATTATACCTTACATTCTGTTTTCTCTTTTGTTTAATTTGGTATCATTTTAAAGTTCTTAGGCGCTAAACTGAGATAATTGATTCTAAACCATTTTCCTTTTTAAAATATATGTAAAAGTCTATAAATTTACTTCAAAACAGCATTAACTGTAACATTTTAATGTCCTGTTTTCAGTATAATGTATTTTGTGATACTTTCTAATTTCCTTTTTAATTCCAGATATGATTTGTGAAGGTATTTAGAAGTATATTAATTTATTTCCAAAGATATGTATATTTTCTTGCTTTTATTTTCATTGATTTCAAACTTAATACCACTTTGATCACAGAATAATATTTGTCTTACTTTAATCCATGATATTTGTTGAGAATTTATATATGGGCCAAGATTCTTATGTGCATTTTTTAAAAAAGAAAAAAAAAGGTATGTTCTGCAACCATTGATAGCAATGTTCTCTACATGACAATTAGGTTAAGTTTGTTAATGATATTGTTTAACTATTTTTATATTCTTTGTAATTTTCGTGTGCTTTTCTACCAGCTACAAAGACAATTGTGTCAGAATCTCTCAAAATAAATTCTGGTTTGCTTGTTTTTTCTCTTATGTTCTGTCATTTTTCTGCTTTTATGTATTTTCAAGCTATATACTTAGATACAAAATAAAATTGTTTTATTTTCTTGAAGGATCAAACTCTTTTTACATTATAAAACATCCCTTTTTATCTTCAACATTTCTTTCTCCTTAAACTTCATTTTGTCTCTTAGTATATAGCCATGCCACTTTTTTTTTAATTTTGGTTTTTAGAATATACATTTTTTCTTATATTTTCTTGTAAACCTTCTTATTCTTACAAAATGAACATTTTGAGCAACATATAGCAAAGTCATGCTCTAGTTGTTTTTAAAATCATTCTGATAATTTTGGTTAATTATTTATTCAAATTATATTGAATGGAGTTATTTATATATATGCTTTATATCTATCATCTTATTTTTTATTCTGTATTACCTTTCTTTTTTTTTTTTTGAGACAGTCTCGCTCTGTCGCCCTGTATTACCTGTCTTATAGTCTGTAAGTTTTTACTACTTTTTTGCCTTTTTTGGATTAATCAAGCAAGGTTTTTTATTTTCACCATTTTACCATGTTAATTATATATTGTTGAGATAACAATATCCATTCTTTACTTACTAGAGTCTGTTAAAATTTATTCCTTTGCTACTTCTCAGATATTTGAGGACTTTAGAACACTTGAACTTCCATTACTTCTTTCTGTCATTTTTGCAATTTTTTTCAAATATTTTAATTATATGCGCAATTCAAACCCACAAGACATTGTTATTTTTATTTGTACTATCAATATTCGTTTGCACTTATGTATATATTCACTCTTTCCATTGCTTTTCAGTCCTTTGTTAATCTCCATGCCTCCATCTAGGATAATTTTCTTCCTAAAAAAACTCCTGTTAACACTGACATGTAACATTTTGTGTAGATACGCTGATGAAAAATAATTTCTAGCATTGTCTGATTTTTAAAAATTAAGAATACTTGTCTGTGTGCAGTAGCTCACACCTGTAATCCCAACACTTTGGGAGCCTGGGATAGGAGGATTACTTGAGCCCAGGAATTGGATACTAGCCTGGGCAACAAAGCAAGATCATGTCTCTACAAAAAAATAAACATTAGCCAGACTTAGTAGCATGGGCCTGTAGTTCTAGCTACTTAGGAGGCTGAGGTGGGAGGATCACTTGAGCCTGGGAGGTTGAAGCTGGAGTGAGCTGTGATTTTGCCACTGTATTCCAGCCAGGGTGACAGAGAGAGATTCACAGTTTGGAATTCTAAGTTAGCAATTATTTTCCATTATCACTTTGAAGTTTTCTACTATGTTTAATGAATTATTTTATCTGACTAATTTTAACATTATCTTGGTTCTTGGTTTTAGACTAATTTTACTATTGTATGCCTAGGAGTGTTTCTCTTTGTCTACTTATCCTGCTTGGTGTTCACAGTACTTTTATGAATTTTTGGCTTGATGTTTTTCATTTTTGGGGGTAAAACTCTTAGTCAATACATGTTCACATAATACTTCTTCACTATCTTTCCCTCTCTTTTTTCTAGGACTTCAGTTGCATAATTTTTTAAGTTTCTATATATGTATTATACTCTTTTATATATTTCATTCTGTTTTTTAAATGCTTTAGTTTGAGTATTTTTTACTGCTTATCTTTTCTTGCACAATTTTATGTTTATCTTCACCTATGTTTATCTGTTGTTAAATGCATTTATTGAATTGAATTCCTTACTTTAGTAAATGTGTTATTCAGTTCTAAGATTTCCACTTAGTTTGTTTCAAAGATCCTAAATATTTTTGCAAATTCTCTGTTTTGTATTTTATTTTTTGAAAATATTAACTAGTATTTAGGACTATTGAGGATATTTCCTAATAACTATTTTTTCTTTTGATTTTTGATCACTTTGTCTTGTCTTATGTTGTGAAAAATAAGTCTTTTTTTTTTTTTTTTTTTTTTTTTTTTTTGAGACGGGGTCGTGCTCTGTCGCCCAGGCTGGAGTGCAGTGGCAGGATCTCAGCTCACTGCAAGCTCCGCCTCCCGGGTCAATGCCATTCTCCTGCCTCAGCCTTCCTAGTAGCTGGGACTACAGGCGCCCACCACCACTCCTGGCTAATTTTTTGTATTTTTAGTAGAGAAGGGGTTTCACTGTGTTAGCCAGGATGGTCTCGATCTCCTGACCTCGTGATCCGCCCACCTCGGCCTCCCAAAGTGCTGGGATTACAGGCATGAGCCACCACACCTGGCTCCGAAAAATAAGTCTTGATTGCAGTCAAGAATTTGTGAATGAAAATCCTCCAGACAGGATTTATGCGTGCCTTTGGCAGACAGTTTGGATAGATGTGGTTAAAGTTAATCTAGCCCAAGACTGGGTGGAGTCAACCTGGGTTTAATCCTTATAATAGTTTGTTAATTTTCGACCAGGATTAATAACTAAGTTTTAAGCCTTCAGGGATCTCACCTGAAAGTCTGAGAACCATCAACTCTCTTTCTCCTTGGCAGGTCCTGAATTCTAAATTCTTCTATACAGCTCTGGAAGATTTGCTTCTCAGTCACTTTGCCACTATTTTCCTCTTGGCTTCTCTGTCCCTGGATTCTCTCCCTGCTTGGGTGTTTAGTGTCTAGGATCAAAGACTGGGTCATAGATGATAATGTAATCATGAGTTATAGATGACATTGTCTCCTCCTAATCTCCAGAAAATGTTTCACGCCTGTATTTACAATTTATGACCCTCAAAATTATCCCTCCTCTGTTCATCCTCTGAAATATCTCTTCATTGTGTTTAGAATTTTGTAAAAAGATAAGTAGAGCCCTAACATAAACCCTATTGTGTATCTCAATAAAGCATCCTGCCAAGTTATTTGTAAGCATTTGATTTGGGCATATTTTAGAAAGCCATAACATGTGTTGTTGGTATACTATATTTGATTAAACCATTTAGTATATCACATCTATAACCATTTTTCTTCCACACTTGCAGACAAACTCTTGATCTTCAAAGCTGTACTAGATGATAACGCTGCTTCCATATGAACATGCAATCCAACTTTTAACATTTTGATTTCAATGCCTTTTTGGAAGACTTTAATTTCCTAGGATTGAACAAAATGACATTGACGCTATACTTAAATTCCTGTTCTAGGTTAAAATTAAAGTTTTAGTAATTTAGAAAAATTATGCAGAATTTTTACCTCAGCAAAGATTGCCAAACTCCACACCTGGAGAGTAAGACAGGTTCCTGAGTATAAGATTCGAGCACTGTCTAGTGGTTTTTTGTTGCTGACTACTTTCTGTTTGCTCTCCTATAACTCTTCCCCACCCTACTTTTTCCTTCTTTGTAGCCTGTGAAACTGACTTTTGCAATCATCACTTGGGGTTTCTGGTTTCCTGGCTTCCTATCTGTTCAACCAATGAGATGCTGGTAGGAAATAGAAGGGTAGGAATAGAAGGATGTCAAGGTATTCCTTCCCTTGCATATTCTCTATCTCAGCTCAGAAGTTGTGGTAATAATGTGTCTTTCTTTAAAGAAAGCTTCAAATATCTGTGGGTTCTGGTATTAGCAATTCCTCCCTTTGTCCCTTCATATCTAGGGATAGTAATATTTCCTTGGGTATCCAGATATCTTTTTGTTTATTTGCTGATTATTGGCCATATCCTAATTAATATTTCTTTTGTGTTAAGCTGTTTGTGTTATCATAAAGAAATACCCGAGGCTGGGTGATTTATAAAGAAAAAAGGTTTAATTGGCTCATGGTTCTTTCTGTAGGCTGTACAGAAAGCATAGTGTTGGCATCTGACTCTGTTGAGGGCTTCAAAATCTCACAATCATGGAAGGCAGAGGGAGAGCAGACAATGCCACATGCCAAGAGTGGAAGCCAAGAACAGAAGGGAAAGTTTCCAGATTCTTTTTAAACAACCAGATCTTGCATTAACGAACTGAGAGAGAACTCGATTGTCATGAAGGAGATGGTGCTAAGCCATTCATGAGGGACCTACCCCCCATGATCTAATCACCTCCCACCAGACCCTGACTCCAACATGGGAATCACATTTCAACATGACATTTAGAGTGGGCAAACATCTAAACCATATCATTCTGCTCCAGACCCCCTAAATCTTGTGTTCTTCTCACATTTCAAAATACAATAATCCCATTGCTGTAGTCCCCCAAGTTTCAGCATTAACTCCAAAGTCCCAAGTACAAGGTCTCATTTGAAATTGAAGACAAGTTCCTTCCACCTATGAACCTATAAAATCAAAACCAAGTCGTTTACTCATAAGATACAATGGTGGTATAAGCTGCCTAGAGAGATTAGCATGACTAAACGGGAGCCAAGTGCTGATATCTAAGACAATGGGAAAAAAAACTTCAGAGGGCTCAAGCCATAAGCCTTGGGACACTGCTTCACATCCTCTGAAATACGGGGAGAAGCTGCCAATGGCAGCACAAGCTGCCTAGAGAGATTAGCATAATCAAAAGGGAGCCAAGTGTTAATATCCAAAAAAAAAAAAAAAATGGGGAAAAGGCTACACTCCAGAGGCCTCAAACCATAAGCCTTGGGACACCGTCTCTTTGGAGTGGAATGTATTCCCACTCCAAAAGGGAGGAATTCACCAAAAGGATGGAAAAATCAGCCCCACACAAGTCTGAAAACCAGCAGGGAGATAATTAAATCTTAAATTTCCAAATAACCCCTGGATGTCCCACATCCAGGGCACACTGTTGTAAGGGGTGGGCTTCCAAGACTTAACACCTCTGCCCCTGTGGCTTTGCAGGGTGCAGATCCTGTGGCTGCTGTCACAAATTGAAGTTAAATGCCTATGGCTTTTCCACACACAAGGTGCCAGCTGCCTGTGGATCTAGCATTCTCAGGTCTGAAAGGTGACTTCCCCCTTTACACAGCTCCATTAGGCAGTACCCCAGCAGGGACTGCGTGGGAGCCCCAACCCCACATTTTCTCTTGGCATTGCCTTAGCAGAGTATCTCTGCAGGGCCTCTGCCTCTGCTGCAGGCTTCTACTTGGGCACATAGGTTTTCTAATACATCCTCTGACATCTAGAGAGAAGCTGCCAAGCCACCTTCATGCTTGCATTCTGTATGCCCGCAGACTTAACACCATGTGAAAGCTGCCAAGGCTTATGGCTTGAGGCATCTGGAATGGTGGCTTGAGCTGTTCCTGGGGCCCTTTGAGTTGTGTCTGTGTCTGGAGCAGCCAAGATGCATGGAACAGGGTCCCAAGGCTTATGGCTTGAGCCCTCTGGAATAGTGGCTTTTTATCCATTGTCTTGGATATTAGCACTTGGTTCCCTTTTAGTCGTGATAAACTCTCTAGCAAGTGGTTACCTCACAGTCTGCTTGGATTCTTTCTGTACCACAGGGACAGCTTATACATTTTCCAAACATTTATGCTCTGCTTCCCTTTTAAATGTAAGTTATAACTTTATTATAAGTCATTTCTTTGATCCCATATCTGATTGCAGGCTGTTAGAAGCACCACCTCTAACATTTTACTTCTTGAAAACTTTACTGCTTAGAAATTTCTTTCACCAGATACCCTAAGTCCTCACTCTTAAATTCAAACTTCCAGAGATTTCTAGGGCATGAACACAATGCAGCCAGATTCTTTTCTATGACATAACATGGTGACCTTTACTCCAGTTCCCAGTAATTCCCATTTCTGTTTGAGACCTCATCAGCCTAGCCTGCACTGTCCATATTTCTATCAGCGTTTTGATTACAACCAGTTAACCAATCTCTAATAAATACCAGACTTTCCCTTATCTTCCTGTATTCTTCTGAGCCCTCTAAACTCTTCTATCTTCTACCCATTTCCCAGTTCCAAAGCCACTTCAACATTTTCAGGCATCTTTATAGAAACACCCCACTCTTCAGTACCAGTTTTCTATGTTAGGCCATTTGCATTACTCTAAGGGAATACCTGAGGCTGGGTAATTTATAAAGAAAGGAGGTTTAATTGGCTCATGGTTCTGTGGGCTCTACGGGTAATTGCCTTTGCTGAGGGCCTCAGGTAGCTTGCAATCATGACAGAAGGCAAAGTGGGATTAGGCTTATTAGATGATGAGAGCAGGTGCAAGACAGACAAGGGAGAGGTCCCAGACTCTTCTTTAAACACCAGATCCTGCATGATCTAACTGAGCACAAAATCACTTATTAGTAAGGAAATGGTGCTAAACCACTCATGAGGATCTTCCTGCATGATCCAATACCTCTCAGAAGGTCCCACCTCTAACACTGGAAATCACATTTCAACATGAGATTTGGAGGGGACACAAATCCATACAATATCACTTTTAATTGAGGACTCTTTAAAATACCAGGTGAAGGTTGTGCAAAAGGATTCCAGACAAAAAGAAGATGAGGACAAGGTGTTGAGGCTTGAAAGGGCTTGGCATGTTCTAGGAAGGAGTATAAACCCAGGGATCTTGAGCAGTAGGAGCAAATGAGAAAGTAGCATGAGATGTGCTTAAAGGAACTGTCAAGCGTAAAATCATGCAGAGCCTGGTTAGTCAGAATAAGGAGTTTTTATTTAATTTGAAATGCAATGGAGGCCACTTGTAGGAGACGTCTGGGTTGGTCAACGACAAGGCTGAAGCAGACAGATCACTCTGATGAACGCATCTATTTTTCAGAAAATATGGTAGTTTGGAACATGTTGGAATGGAGACAAATGGAAAGGACAAATTTTGGAGGTAGAACTGACAGCAGTTGAAGATGGAAACTCCCGGGTTTGTTTATTTATTTATTCATTCAGTTGGTATATTATGCCCTATCAAATGCCCAGCTTATGCTAAGCCATTTGTTAAGATATGGCAATGGATCTTAATATATTAAACAAATAATTACACAGACAATTACACTATTAACTTGTAATAAATACAAAGAAAATTACAGAGTTTTGTGAGGTTTATAACAGGAATTTCTAACCACTGTTGGTGTTTAGAGACATCCTCAATAATGTAGCAACGTTCAAGGACAAGGAGGTTAGAAAAATAGTAAAAGTATCTTAATTTTGGTTCTCCTAGAAGTATATTCAGAGATAAGTATTCAAGTGCTAGCAGTGTTTTGGGCTTTACCATGGAAATGGGACATTACATGGATGAAGCAGATAAATTATGGCTACTGGACTTTATGGTATATGTGACTATTGAGATGTCAGCCATGCCTGCAGCCATGCAGATGTCCTGGCTCCCAGGAACTGATCTAGAGTAGCATTCCTCTCCACTTAATCTGCATCATTTCCCCATCAGGAAAAACCCAGAAAATGACTCCCTTCTTTATTTGTTACAAAGGAAATAAGTTCTTATTCTATTAGACATTTGGACTAGGTCTACTATTGGTCCCTTTACCCCTGTGGAATAGGCTTTTCTTGTCCAGTAGCATTGCTTTGGGGGATTGCTTCTTCAATGTTATGAGTTTACATTCGTGGGGAGAGCAGTTGCCCATGAAGTTCCAGCCTAGCTTTAGGGGAGGAGCTGTGGGACTCTAAGGGATAGTTCCAGGTTTTTCCACAAACCGGCATCTCTGAGCTCTAGGTGATAACAACACCTGGGGTGTTGGTGGTGATGATTCTTTTTCAAAAATTTATATGTATCTCAGGGGAACACTGAATTATTTTTGTTTTTGTTGTTACTATCAGCATTATCTTCTTCATTATTATTTTAAAACAAAACAATTCTTTATTATTGAAATAATATGTTTCTAATGACTCTTAACCAAAATGTTATCTGTGTTTTCAAATGTATACATATAGTGTACATTTTCTTATATTTTCCTAGATTGCCTTTTTGTTGGTTTAGTAAGGCTGGGTAAAAATGTAGCTTGCATGAGATTCTATTGAAAGTTTACCCTTGAATGAGAATGTTTTCTCAAATTTAAGTTTCCTCTGCCAGTCTTCAGAAGCTAGTGGGAAATTCCAGTCCTGTGAGAAATGCTGACATTAATTTCTGTAAAATATCTAGAACAATTGATATTGCATAAGTCAGACCCAATTCGTTCTTAGAATCAGAAGCCCATCAGAACAGAGGAGGAAGCACACGGCTTGTATTAAAAGGGAGTTAATGGAATGTTTCCTCTTTTATTCTGGGAGTTTCCAAATAGATAAGGTCATGAGGGCATCAGGGTCTAGATTGGAACAGAAAGGCAAGACGTAAATTTATTCTTCTAACTCTTTATAACCGATGTATCCCAAATTTCCAAACTGAGCCTTGAGTAGAGAAGCATATGAGTCATTGACCCTGTCTGGCCATATGGCTCTTCAACAGTGGCCTTCTCTACTCCACCCCACTGTACCACAATTTAAAAAATTTATCTTATGTTGTTGTACCACTGAGATAATGATAGAGAATAAACTTAATCAGCCTTGTTTAGAGAGTCTAATTTGTGAAAATTTATGAAAAGACGTTATATTGGCTAAGACTTTATATACAAATACATTCCACTCAAATCACAATTTACCTACTGTACGTATAATGATAGGTATTCTCTGTCTAGTTCAAGTTGATTTTCAAACAGATGAGCTTTAATTTTATGGATTTTCTTAACTAACTGCCCTGCTTACTCTGTTTCCTTGATTCTTTGTGTAACATAATGGGTAACTTGATCTGTACCTCCTATTTTACAGGCACATAATTCATCTCAATTTCAGATGCAGGAGAGTTGTTCCTGTGTGACTTCTCAGCGTCCTCTCCACACTCTCAATTAGATGATTATTTAACAGGCAGTTGAATTCCCAGACCAAACCATCAAGGCCTAGATCTTTAATTGCTTAAACTGTTTGTCCTTACATGTAGCTTTCCAACATCCTGCTGGGTCAAGTTTAATTTAAAAAAGATGGCTTTCCTATCCTGCAAACATTTTATAGAATAGAATATAAGCAGTGAGTCAATGATATAACAAAATATTTTAATCTATTTTTATCTAAAGTATGTATTTATTAAATCTCGTATGTATGTATATATAAACTCTATGAAACTGGGTTCTTTCTATGGTTAAACATGTTGGGGGTTTAGTTTCTTCCAATGCCCAAATCTACCTTTAATCATTGCTTAAACTGATGAAGAGCAAAATTGTTATTGTTAGAGAATTATTTAACACTTTCTGGTGAAATACCTGTAGGCTCAATTTTATTATTTTTTTATTTGAAAAACTTTAACTAAAATGCTTTTGGCAAGGTCTGTGGCTTATGGTCCTTAAATGAAGAATAAAGCAAGTTATATCTTGTTATCAGTTCTCCACTATAAGGTTTATATACTAGCTTACAATGGCTAAGATGGACAGTTCTGGGGTTCCATCCATGAGGGCACTGTGAAGCTTTGGCACTGGGATTCCTAAGAAGCTGCCCTAGAACACCTGATTTTCAGCAAACAGTACCAGGAGACTTAAAACAAAAATCTATATAGTCATCACTGGTATTCCTGGGTGCTGGTTCCAAGACCCCTTGTGGATATTAAAATCCATGGATGCTCAAGTCCTTTACATTAAATGGTGCAGAACTTACATATAACCTATGCACATCCTTCTGTACACTTTAAATAAATAATCTCTAGATGACTTATAATACCTAACACAATATAAATGTAATGTAAGTAATAGCTGTATCTTATTGTTTAGGAAATAATTGGACAAGAAAAACATCCTGTAAATGTTCAAGACAGACCCAACTGTCCATTTAAAAATATATATATTTTTGATCTGTGGTTGGTTAAGTCGACAGATGTGGAACCCACAGATATGAAGAGTTGACTATAATTGCATTTCTCTGACTTGCACAGTCCCTCCTTTTTATGCTATGAAATATAAAATTCCAAATAAAATTTAAGTCCCAGGTACTTTTCAAATGGCATTTTAAAAATATATCTATAAAGAAAATAGAGTTTTCATTTTTTTCTATAATGTTTATGAGGTCTGCCCTATTCCTTCCTTTTTCTTAAAAACTTTACAATTCTTCCTTTGTTTATTCTTAATAAAAAGTCTTTGAAGAATTTTAAAAACTGATTTTAAAAAACAGAAAGTATGTACCATACCAAATACATAAAAGGGAAGCAGGTTGAAACTATTTTTATGTTGACATTGAGAAATAAGACAAATTACAAAAAGTCTCTTTACTTGATAAAATAAACCAAAAAATAATAAAAGCCAGCAAAATAAAAACTATCAAAAATTATAAAGGAAATGGAATAAAACCTAATGCTATGAACTTTGAAAAGAGGAAGCTCAGAAAGGGAGAAAGGAAAAATACAGAAATGCTGAAAGACAGACAAACAGACCAACAGAAAAAAAAGGGAGGTGGAAAGAGAGAGAAAAAGAGGGAAGAGAGGAAATTCTCTTCAATTTATGCAAAGCTTTATTTAAGGGATTTTATTAAAATGATATTTATAGTATCCCACTTTATAATATTTTAATCTATCGATCCATAAGAAGAAATGTTTGAAATAATGCAACTTTAACATTCTTGATGATTAATTCTGGGTGATGGAATTGCCTGTGTAAGTGTATGTCTGTGTGGGTGTGCTTATTGCCTTTTATTACTTTTCTTTTTTGCTTGAATTGATCATGTACAATTTTTATTAAAAATAATGACCATGACAATATTAAAATAATCTTTTTATATTTAAAAATATGTATATGTTTTATATTATATATTTATATTTTCTTATATTTAACATATATAAAAATATGTTTTATGTTATATATATTTTGTATATACATAAATATATTTATATATTCATAAATATGTACTATGTATTATATATCTATATTTTGAATATATATGCATTTATAGTTGATATTTTAAATAGTAGTGTTATTTATTGGAAATTGATCTGTTTTTCTTTCTTTTTTTAATGCTATGGGGGTCTTGCTCTGTTGCCCAGGCTGGCCTTGAACTCCTTGACCCAAGCAATCCTCCCAGCTAGGTCTTCCAAAGTGCTGAGATTATAGGTGAGAGCCACTGCACCCTGTTTTTTTTTTCTATATTCCATACTATTTATCTTTTTTTGAAGCTATGATGAGGTTGCATATTTGAACAGTACCTCTCAGATGTACAAGAAAAAGTTTTACAATTTTTTTATTTATATAAATGTTCTAATGTTTTTCACAATCCATATTCTCTTCTCTGGCAGGATTTTGTTTTTCACTACATCCTCCTGTTTCCCTGTGGCTAAAAGACTTACAACTATAATTTCATGGTAGATAAAATGCCATAGAGAAACCAGCTTGCAAATAACGAAATGCACACAGGTGGTAGTTCAGATATATGATGTGCATTACATGTATTTTCTTGATTTGTCTTTTATTTTTAAATTACATACAGCATCCTTAATTATTCCCTTTACCTATTTCTCTTTTAAGAGCAAGCATATTTCACTATTATTGCCCAAATGTAGGGCTGCAAATTACAAATATGGGTTTACTTTATAAAACTATAATAAAAGTAGAAACTGAGATTTTATTATACTTGATAGGGGATTGTTATTTTTTATGATAGGAAGAGTACATATTTAACTGTAACCCAGTTTTTTGGGAAGTGACAATATTTACCCTGGGATATGGTGCATCGCATGAAAATATTACATGATTAGAAGGCTGTAATAGGTATTCTTATGAAGGTGCTGGAAGACTCCCAGAAAGAATTTGGGAAAAGATAAAATAAAGGAGGAGCTTAAATAATGTCAAAAGAGTTAGCCTCTTATGTGGAAGAACAGCCAAACAGGCAGAAATGAAACCATTTCAAAGGTACTTGAACTGAAGTCTCAAAAACATAAGAAGGGAAATTTAATGCTAGTGCCTACTAGACAGACTTCCTTTGCAAACTTGAACAAATGTTGCAGTCTTTTAACTTTATTTCTTTAGTTTCTGAAATGAGAAAGATTCAACTTTGTTGCCTCCAGAGTCCTTGAAGTGACTAATTGCCTAATAGTTTCTAAAGACCTTTGAAATCCAAAGGGCTGAGATTTACATACTATGCCATTTTCCTCCTTGATCATTGCATTTCTGTTAATTTCTCTGTAATTCAGTTTCCACTTCATTCTACATTTTTTAACTTACTGATTATGTTTCTTGAGATGTGTTTTGCTGAGAAAGGGGTTGAAATACTCACCAACCAGAACATTAGTTAGGACCTCTGATTTCAGACTTATTTTCTAAAACATGACATTCCCTTCTTTTTAAATTTTTTCTTTCATTTTTTCTTCTTCCCTTCTTCCATGAAATATTCCAAAGATAAAGAAAAATGCATAAAATAATATATAACTTCCAGTACATGTAGCTGTGATACAGATGCCACAAATGATAATGTTTAGTTGAATTTGCTTTAGATATATTTTAAATATAAATAAAATGTTCTACACAGAGGAGGCTGCAAAACGAGAGCCTCCCCAACTCCACTTGCTTTTCTTTTCCATGAGTTGACCACTGTCTTCAAGATGTATATGTTCCTCCCAATCAGGTTTTAAAATCAACGTGATATCCTGGAAAGTTTTAAATGTACATGAGGTAAGGATGGAACTGTACATCATCATCTTCAACTTGATTGTTTTTAACTCAACAATGTTTCAAAATTTAACCAGTAATTGTTTTTAACTCAACTATGTTTCAAAATTTAACCAGCTTGATGTAGGTGGTTTGATGTGGATCCATTCATTTGATGTGGATAATGAATCCACATAATTCGTTTGATGTGGATATATATAGTGTTCCATTAGCTGTACCTTAATTTATCTTTTTTTTTTTCCATTTTGATGGGCATTTGTGTTGTTCAGGGAAATGCAAATAAAAACCACAATGTGATACCACCTTATTCCTGCAAGAATGGCCATAATCAAAAAATGAAAAACCAGTAGATGTTGGCATGGATGCAGTGATCAGGGAACACTTCTACACTGCTTGTGGGAATGTAAACTAGTACAGCCACTATGGAAAACCATGTGGAGATTCCTTAAAGAACTAAAAGTAGAACTACCATTTGATCCAGCAGTACCACTACTGGGTATCTACCCAGAGGAAAAGAAGTCATTATTCAAAAAAGGTACTTGCACACACATGTTTATAGCAGCACAATTCAGAATTGCAAAATCATGGAACCAACCGAAATGCCCATCAACCAAAGAGTGGATAAAGAAACTGTGATATATATATATATGATGGAGTACCACTCAGCCATAAAAAGGAATGAATTAACGGCATTTGCAACGACCTGGATGAGATTGGAGACTATTATTCTAAGTTAAGTAACTCAGGAATGGAAAACCAAATGTCATGTGTTCTCGCTGATATGTGGGAGCTAAGCTATGAGGATTCAAAAGCATAAGAATGATACCATGGACTTTGGGGACTTGGGGGGAAGAATGGGAGGAGGGAGAGGGATAAAAGACTACAAATAGGATGCAGTGTATACTGCTCGGGTGATGGGTGCACCAAAATCTCACTAATCACCACTAAAGAACTTAGTCATGTAATCAAATACCACCTGTACCCCAAAAACCTATGGAAAAATTAAAAATGAATTAATTTTAAAAATAAAATAAAATTAAGGAGGAATAAACCAAGGCTCTGAGAAATTCAGTGACTTGCTAAAGTCTCACGGCTAGGAATCTTTGGAGCCATGTCTGCAAGACACTAAAGACTGTTCTCTTAGATTCTACATTCTTTTCTTGTGATATCCATGAATCAATATTGAATAAGATACTGGAGGGTACCAGGCTGGAAGTAATCCCTCCCCCAGAACTCCTCTCACCCCCACAAAAAACCCCAACAAGATTGTAATAAACATTCGTTGTTAACATGTATAAATTTCTTTAGCATAAACCCTTGCAGGGAAGTTTTCAAGTCACAGGTAATCATGTATTTCAATTAACCTTGATCTTTCCATATTGTTTTCCAGAGTGGCCACCAGCTGATGATGAGATTCACTGATCCTCACATCCTCTCCAATTCTTGAGATTATCATGGCTTAACTGAGAGATATTACATGGTATCTTATTTTTATGTGTGTATTTTGTGGGATACACTTTGCATATTTAAAATTCACCCATTTGAGTATATAGTTTTATGAATTCTGAAAAATGCTTACATTTTGGCCTAATCTACAGAGCTTCTTATTTGACCCTTTACTTTACATCTCTCAAACTTATTTATATATTTTTCATCCCCTCACCTCACAATGCTGTATTTAGGGGATTTTTGAGACAAGTTTGTATTAGATCTTTCATTAGCTGTTTTTTTTTTCTTTTCCCTATTAGTTTAGCTTTATTTTCAATGACCTAACCTTTGTAGGGGGAAAAAAATTTACTTCAGTGGAAAGCTATACATTGTCCAGTTTCTAGATGACGCCCCTGCAAGTTATTTGATCCAGATTCTATGGAAGTTACTTTACAACTTCATGAATTGTAGATGATATCAACGCAAATGATTCTATGTACTGACACAAATTCTGTCCTATCCTGCAGAGGTTCAGTTTACTTCCCCCCTACAGTGAAAAATCTTTCCCCAGCTCTTCTGCAGTTATTACAAAATTTTCTATCTCTAAATGTATCTGTTCTTTGCATTCTTTTTTGAAATGGTTATAATTACTTGTTTCTCTAATGAATCAAATAAACTCTTTGGCATATATTTATCTTCATATCTGTATGAGAGTCACGGTTTTACTTTCTTCGGCACGTTATAACTTAGTGGTTTTCACTCTTAGAAATTTTGTTTGTAATCCCAGCACTTTGGGAGGCGGAGGCGGGTGGATAGCCTGAGCTCAGGAGTTCAAGACCAGCCTGGGTAACACGATGAAAGCCCATCTCTACCAAAATACAAAAAAATAGCCCGGTATGGCGGCATGTGCCTGTAGTCCAAGCTACTCAGGAGGCTGAGGCAGGAGAATAACTTGAACCCATGAGAAGGAGGTTGCAGTGAGCTGAGATCATGCCATTGCATTCCAGCCTGGGTGACAGAGTAAGACCCTGTCCAAAAAAAAAAAAAAAAAGAAAGAAAGAAAGAAAAAAAAGAAATTCTGTTTGTTAAGTTTTTGAACCTGTTTTTTTCTCCATATTATTGTTTTGTTTTTTTGAGACAGAGTTTTGCTCTGTTGCCCAAAATATTTCATATTGCCTTAATTTTTCTTTCATGCAGTGCTATTTCTCCTGCTTAATGCATTCCCCTGCCTTTTCTCTTGGGAATATGATTCCTAATATGATTCAGGAATTCTCATACACTATTGCCTTTAGGACAATTTGCTTTTACTGTGGGTGAAATATTTACCTGCTATGGGTTGTGGATGGGAGGGGTCTCAATAAAATAATGTTTTATTTGTTTTGCTAATGCCTGGGTAGTTTAACTTGTCCTGAGTGAGTTGCAGTGTTTGATTTGACTTGGTGTTCCTATGTGTGAGTACGATGCTGGCCTTGGGTTTCCATTTATCACAGGGTAACATCATGTTCCTAGGTTGTTTGTATGTTTTCTTGTTGTTTCTCTGGCATATAAGTCAAGGTTCATATAGGCTACAAGAAAATGTTTAATATATTGAATTAGGTTGGAGTAATTGAAGAAACTGATTGTAGAAATTATCCCTAGATTAACAAACTCATACTACCCTGGAACCAGCATCAGTGCTACGGTGGAACCAAGAATTCACTTCTGCCTCCATTGTCACTGCCACCAGCATCTGTCTACTCCCAAGAAACTAAAGGACAGGCACTGGACTGCTACTGCAGAAACACCCACAATTCCACAGGCTTGCTTGCGTAAGTGGCTGAAAATCACCTCAACTCTTTTCTACCTTCTAATGTTAGGTGAGTGCAAGAATTGGTGAAAACTGATTCTGCTTCACATCCCTGGCTGCATGGAAGTCTGAAAAATGTAGTTAATTTTATCTTTGTTCTTGGTATGTTTATTTTGTCTTGATTTTCTTTCAAAAACCTCCAAGTAGGATGAAAGTGTAATACAACTTGAGTAATTCAATTAAGAGTGACCACACCTAGACTAACAGCAGACACTCCTTTCAAGGAGTGGGTTCTAACTCACACTTCACAGGCACCAATGGGCACTTCATTTTGGTTTTCCAGAAAGCAGATGATAAGATGAAGTTAGGAGTGCAAAAGATTTATTGAGGAATAACATTTTTAAATGTAAAAGGGAGGCAACAGATTGGGAGATGGCGCCATCAGAGTTCAATGCAGGTCTAATAAAGTCTCTGCTAAGCTAATAACCTAGGACAATGATGGCTCACAAAACACTCACATTGTACAGATATGGTCAGACCTTTGTACTATAGGCTGACTCAGTCATAAGTTAGGGCTACCCCTATGATGATATAAAGCTGAGGGGAACCTGATGGAGTTAACACTAGAAGGCTATCAGCTAATGACATGCCTTGCAGCTAGGCAATACACTCTTTCTTGAAGGGAGATATTGAGAGTGTGTCTCTGTGTGTTGCAGAGGTCACTTGTGCTGTCAGTAGGTTTGTGTGAAAAATGTTGCTGCACCCACTAGGGCCTCCCTCTGCTCTCATACTCAAATACACTGCCTCAGGATCATTTGTATTTACCTCACTAATTATCCTTTCATTCTGGGCACAGGTAAATGGTCTTTTCTTTCTTTCAAGCTTGGCTACATTATCCATAATTTCTAAGTATTAACAGTAGGAGGACAACTGTATCTAGACATCAGTTTGCCTTTTTCTTTCATTCAATTTATTTACTTCTAAAAGCATCACTTCAGAGAGATTAACGAGGGTCAGTGAACACATTTGAAGCAACTGTGATTACGCCACTGAGACAATCAGTAAAAGATCCTATACTGGTCTCAAATTAACTTGAAAACAGGTAAGGATGCCGTGATGAGTGGCTAACTATTGCCCTGTTTTTAGCAGGGTCAACTGATAGATACCTAACTTTTAATGAGAATGTTAAGGATCCCTATGCTAGAAGATGGAGAAAAATTAAAAAAATGGAAAATAAATTGTCCCTGTATTCAAGAGACTCTGAGTCTAGTTGAGGATGGGCACAAGGAATAGAGTAGAAATAATTCCATGTGAAAATATGTGGCTTGAACATTTCCTATCAAAGTGTCGATTGTGGACTACCAGCATCAGCCGCATCACAAGCTGATAAGAAATGCAAATTCTCACACCCACTCTAAACCTACTGCGTCATAATCTGCACTTGAATAAGATATTCAGGTAATCCATATGCACCTTAAAGTTTGAGAAGCACTAACTTACACAACTGTTGATTGACTTTGGAGAAAGAAACAGACTAGGAAGGGAGGGACAGAGGAACCTCAAATAGTTGGCTTGAAATCTCAGCTTAAAGGAAAGAGAGAATTTGAATAAACAGAGTTACAAGCTTTTTGGAACAAAATATAGTCATGTGATTTTAAAACTTTTTGGAAAAATCTCCAATATTAACCCAAGAATCCACTGTGTTATTTTCCTTAGTAAGGTTTTATGGCACATCTAATTAAAGACAATTTGACTTGATATTGACATTTATGTTGTATGTCTTCTATGCTGCAGGATTTTGATGAAACACAGAATTTTTCTGATAATTCATTAACTAGGATTAAAATGGTCTGAGTTTATAATGAGTTTCACTATTAACTAATGTTTGCCATTGCAAGGTGCTTTACGGCCTAAAGTGTGGCTTTAATAAATTCTATTGCATGCATTCCTCTAGATTATCAAAAAGCAGACATTTTGACAAAATGTGTTCTTCCTACAGCATTTTGTGAATGCATTTTCCCTCTCGTCTTCCGTCTTCTGTGAATTGGAAACTGTATAAGTCCACAAAGCAGATCCACATGTTCTGAAATGGTAGTAATGGGGACTTTGGCTATAAGTTAAAATGTTCTCTTTAATTCCTGCTCACATTATTAAGACAGGTAAATTATATTTTCATGAAATGTTTCCATGTTTGAAAACCTCTGCTATATATATGATGTAATTTCAGGGAGTCTCTCTGTAGCTGCCATTCTTGTATTTTTAATTCCAGACCACAGAGGGAAGTAGCAAGCCTTGAACTGACACTACTAATTCAGTGTCTTGGTATAACAGGGAGAAGCAAAACATTTTTAACTATGACTTTGAGGTAATTTTTAAAAATTATCTCTAGGAATTCTTATTCTTATAGCTTGAGTTAGAAGTTATAATAGTGTTACTGGAGAAGGAGATATGAAGAGGAATCTCATAGTTACAAAAAGTGTAGTCTGAGCTTAATGCATTAAGAATGGGAACATTTGCTAAATTCCAGCTTATTTGTTTAAGTGGTTTCCATTTCCCTTCCTTATGCCCTCAGTTTCACAATTTATGGGCAAGTTTAGATATTCAGTAATACTTAAAAAAAAGTAAGCAGTAGTGCTGTGATTTGATGTGTCACCTCCAAGATTCTGGTATTGAGATGGTATTAAGAGGTGATTAAACTATGAGGGCTCCTCCCACATGAATGGGATTAAGGCCTTTATCAAAGAGATTTTTCTTAGTATTTGCCTCTCTTCTTCAATCTCCTTCCATGTGAGGACACAGTCTTCCTCCCCTCTAGAGGATGCATACTTTACCAGACAACCAATCCTGTTGGCATGTTGATCTTGGACCTCCCAACCATCTAGAACTGTGATGAAATAGAACTCTCTTCCTTATAAATTACCCTATCTCAAGTATTTGGTTATAGCAGCACAACTGGACTAAGACAAGTAGCTCAGCCAACTTAATAAATAAATAAATAGGTTTCATTTTATTTTAAGAACTTCATTGAGATATAGTTCACATTTCACAAAATTCACCCATTTAAAATATATAATTCAGGGATATTTAGTTTAGAGTTGTCCCCTGGTGCCTATTGGGGACTGGTTCCAGGAACCCTTGCAAATACCAAAATCCCAGGATACTTGAGTTTCTTATGTGAAATGGAATAGTAATTGCATATAATTTACACATATCCTCTCATATAATTTAAATCATCTCTCCCTTATTTGTAATACCTACTTCAATGTAAATGCTATGTAAAGTAGTTGCTATACCCTATTTTATTTTTCATTATTATATTATTTTTATTGTTTTATTTTCAACTATTTTTGATATACAGTTGGTCTTATCTGTGAATGTGGAATCCATACATATGAAAAGCCAACTGTATTTAGTGTATTGGTTATGCATCTATTACCGCAGTCAATTTTAGAACACTTACATCACCACAAAAAGAAACCCTGTACCAATTAGCAGTCAATTACACATTCTCTCTCTCCCAATCCCTGACAAATACTAGTCTACTGTCTGTCTTTGTGGATTTGCCTACTCTAGATGTTTCATATAAATAGAATGACAAAATGTGTAACCTTCTGTGACTACCTTTTTACATTTAGCATCATTTAAAGGTGTAACTATTAGTACTTGATTCCTTTTTAATTGTCAAACAATATTCCATCCAATGACTATAACACAGTTGATCCACTTATCATTTTATGGAAATTTGAATTGTTTCTACTTTGTGGCTATTACGAATAATGCTGCTATAAATATTGGTGTTAAATTTTTTGTGTAGTCATATGTTTCCACTTCTCTTGTGTATATACCTAGGAATGCTATTGCTGGATCATAGGATACATCTGATTAATGTTTTCTGAGGAAGTGCCAAACTGTTTTCCAAAGTGACTGCAGCATTTTACATTCACAGCAGCAAAGTATGAAGATTACAATTTCTCCACATGCCCTTCAATAGTATTACTGTCTTTAGTTTTTGTTATAGCCATCCTAATGGGTATGAAATGGTATCTCAGTGATTTAAGTTTGCTTTGTTTTTGTTTTGTTTTGTTTTGTTTTTCTTGAGATGGAGTTTTGTTCTTGTTGCCCAGGCTGGGGTGCAATGGCGTGATCTCAGCTCACCACAACCTCTGCCTCACAAGTTCAAGCGATTCTCTTGCCTCAGCCTCCCTAGTAGCTGGGATTACAGAAAGGCGACACCATGCCTGGCTAATTTTTTATTTTTAGTAGAGATAGGGTTTCTCCGTGTTGGTCAGGCTGGTCTCAAACTCCCAACCTCAGGTGATCTGCCCACCTTGGCCTCCCAAAGTGCCGGGATTACAGGTGTGACCCACCATGCCCGGCTGCATTGTTCTTGATGACTAACGATGTTGAGCATCTTTTCGTGTTCTTATTGGCCATTTGTATACATACTTTAAAAAATGTCTTCTGAAAGTCTTTGTCCATTTTTAAATTGGGTTTTTGCTTTGGTTGTTGAGTTGTAAAGGACCATTATGTATTCTCTCTAGTAGACCCTTATGAGATATTTGATTTGCAAATTTTCTGTGAGTAGTCTTTTTGCTTTTTGATAGTGTTATTTAAAACATCAGAGTTTTTAATTTTGAATTCCAATTAACCTATTTTTTTCTTTGGTTCTTGTGCTTTAGGTGTCATACCTAAGAAACCATTGCCTAATCCAAAGTCAGAAACATTTGTATTCATTGTTTCATTTAAGAGTTTTAAAGTGTTATGGGGCCAAGCACAGTGGCTCACGCCTGTAATCCCAGCACTTTGGGAGGCTGTGGTGGGACAATTGCCTGAAGCCAGGAGTTCAAGACCAGCCAGGGCAACATGGCAAGACTCTGCAGTGGCACAATTATGGCTCACTGTAGCCTTGAAACCCCTGGCTCAGGCAGTCCCCCCACCTCAGTCTCCCAAGTTCTGGGACTAAAGTCATGTGTCACCATGGCTGGCTAATTAAAAAAGTAAAAAAAAAAAATTAAAAAGAGTTTTAAAGTGTGAGCTCTTACTTTTAAATCTATGATCCATTTTGGGTTTAGTTTTCTATGGGATGTCAGGGAGGGATTCAAATTCATATTTTTTTCAGGTGGATATTCAATTGTTCCAAAATTATTTATTGAAAAGACTATTATTTTCTCCACTAAACTGTCCTCTTGAACTTATTGAAAATCAGTGACCATAAATGTAAATTATACTTCTGGAGTGTCACTTCTATTCTATTGATCTATACATATATGCTTATGCTACGGCCACATTGTCTTGATTATCATAGCTTTGTAGTTAAGTTTTTAAATTGGGAAGTGTGAGTCTTCCAATTTTCTTCCTCTTCTAAAATAATCTTCTTCATGATTATTTTAGCTCTTCTGGGACTTTTGCATTCCCTTCTGAATTTTAGGATGAGCTTCTTAAATCTGCAAAAATTTTAGCTGGGATTTTGATAAGATTGCATTGAAACTTTAGGTTAATTTGGGGAGAACTGCCATCTTGACAATATTAAGCCTTCCATTCCATGAACATGGATGTCTTTCTATTTATTTAAATCTTCTATCTCTTTCAATAATACCTTGTAGGTTTTTAATACAAATATTTAACTTATTTTGTCAAATTTATTTCTAAGTGGTATATTCTTTTTGATGATGTTGTAAAAGGAACTGTTTTCTTCATTTTGTTTTTATATGATTTATTGCTTATTTAAAGAAATACACTTGCAATTTTGTATGCTTTCATCCTCCAACCTTGCTTAAGTGTTGTTTTTTTTAGTTCTTTTAATTTTATAGGAAAATTTTAAGTTTTCTATAGGCAATACTATGCCATCTGCAGTGGAAATAAATTTACTCCTTTTTCCCCTTAATTTGTTTGACTTTTTTGCATGCCTAATGAAATACCTAATTATTTTCATGCCTGATTTTCCCAGCATCAACATCCAGAACAATGTTGAATAGAAGTGACAAGAGCAGACATCCTTGTCTTATTCCTGATATTAGTGTAAAACATTCAGTTTTTCTGATATTAGATGTAAACATATGGCCTTTCACCATGAAGTGTAATGTTAGCTGTGACTGCCCTTTTGCAGGTTCAGGAAGTTTCCTTTAATTCTTAATTTGTTAAGTGTTTTTATATATACTGGTCAAATATTTTCTTCTGGATGTATTAACATGATCCTGTGGTTTTTGTACCTTATTCTATAAACGATGTAACATATGATTGATTTTTGGATGTTAAACTAACCTTGTATTCCTGAGATGAATTCCACTTGTTGTGGTATATAATTCTGTCTATATTTGCTGGATACAGTTTGTTAGTGTTTTTAATGATTATTTTTGCGTCTATATTGATAAATAATATTTATCAGTTTTTCTTTTTTGTTATATCTTTGTCTCATTTTGGAGACACATAAAATGTGTCAAGAAGTATTCTTTTTCTTCTACTTTCTTTGGAAACATTTGGAAAACCTGGCATTTCTTCTATAAATGTTTGTTAAAATTCACCAGTGAAGCTATTTCATCCTGGGCTTTTCTTAGTGTGAAGTTCATATCTCACAAATTCAATCCTTTTAACCCTTTACATGTCAACTCCGATTTGGTATTATTTTTTTCTTGAGTAAGTTTTAGTAGTTTGTACCCTTCTAGTGATTTGTCCATTTCATCTAAGTAATCTAAAATCAATGTGTTGTATTTTTATTCATCTCTAAGTATTTTCTAATATCTCTTGTGAAATTCCCCAAATTTATTTCAAGTCTATTGCAGAGGTCAATCTCTGTATGATTTCAATCCTTCTAAATTATTAAGAAGTATTTTGTGTCATAACGCATAGCCTATACTTGAAAAATAAGTGTATCATGTTGCTGTGAAGTTTTTTATAGACATTTATTAGTTTATTTTGGTTTGTAATGTTGCTCAAGTGTTCTATATCCTTCTTAATTTTCTATCTAGTTATTTATTCATTCCTGAAAGGTAGGTATTGAAATCGCTAACTATGAATATTGAATTGTCTGTTTTTCCTTTAAATTCCACCAGTTTATGCTTAAGATATTTTAGGACACTATTGCTATGTGTTTATATGTTTATAGTTTGTAAACTTTTCTGATGAATTGATACTTCATCATTATAAAATGCCTCTCTATGACTCTTGGACAATTTTTTGTAAAAACATATCTTGTTCGATAATGATAGCCACTCAGTTGTTTTGGTGACTCTTTATTTAGCATGGCTTTTTCCATTCTTTTATTTTCAACCTATTTGTGTCTTTGAATCCAAAGTGTGCCTTTTGTAGATAGCATATGTTTATATTGTGTTGTTTTAATTCATTATGTGAATGCTTACTCTTTAATTGGAGCATTTAACCCATTTATATTTCATGTAATTTCTGATAAAGTAGAATTTCTGCCATTTTGCCATTTGTTTTCAGTGTGTGACTGCACATTTTTGTTCCTCTTGATCTTCATTACTGCTCACCTTTGAGTCAAATAGATACACTGTGGTTGCCATATTAATTCTCTTGTTTCATCAATTTTGATCATATTTTTTGGGGTTACTATCTTAATTGTTGCCCTATGGGTTGCATTTAATGTCTTTACTTAATATGATTTTGTTAGATTAATACCAACCTAATTTCAATAATATACAAAAACTTTGCTTCTATAGCTTTATTCTCTTCCCCTCATTGTACTATCATTATAATACAAATCACTTCTTTATATATCATACATTCATCAACACAGTTTCCTAATTATTGTTTTATGTATTTGCCTTTTAAATGTAGATAAAGAAAGGATTACTGTGTGTATATATATATATATAGAAAGAGAGAGAGAGAGTAATATATAGATATGTGTGTGTATATATACACATATATCTTGTCTTACCTGTCTACCTGTGTAGTTTTCTTTACTGGATTTTTTTTTTAACTGTACATGGATTTGAATTATTGTAGAGCATCACTTCATTTAAGCCTAAAGTATTCACTTTAGTATTTCTTGTATAACAGGTCTATTAGGCACACATTCTCTCAGTTTTTGTTTATCTAAGAATGCCTTTATTTCTTCATTGTGTTTAGTTTTAGAACTTTATATATACAAAAATATTGAGAAGATAGTGCAGGGAGTTCTCATATATTCTACACTCACTTTTCTCTGTTATTGACATCTTACATTAGTATGGTACCTTTTTTACATTTAATGTACCCATATTGATACATTATTTTTATTTAAAGTTCATGATTTATTCAGATTTTCATAGTTTGTGCCTAACACCCTCTATTCTTTTTCACCCAGAATATTACGTTGCATTTACTCAACATGTCTCCTTAGACTACTCATAGGTGTGAAAATTTCTCAGATTTTCTTGTTTTTGATGAGTTCAATAGTTTTGAGTAATACTGGTCAGGTATAATTTGCAGAATTTACATCTATTGGGATTTGTTTGATATTTTTCTCATAAATAGATGGCAGTTATGGATTTTATGATGAAAACTACAGAAGTAAACTACCATTTTTATAATATAATATTGAGAATACATACTGTCAACATGACATCAGTTTTGATGACTGCCTTGATCACCTTACTGAGCTAGAGTTTGTCAGGCTTCTCCAGTGTAAATCCATTTATCGTTCTTTATCATACTGTATGATTTATTTTAAAAAATCACTACTCGCAACACATACTTGAGGAGTGGAAACTTTTACTCTATATCCTTAAAGGAAGTATATATATGTAAATTATTTGGAATTCTTTGCACAGGAGATTTGTTTATTCTCCTCCATTTATTAATTTATACAACCATTTATTTATATCAGGATAGACTCAATGATACTTTATTTTATACATTGGGTTATAATACATATGACGGTTAATACTGAGTGTCAACTTGATTGGATTGAAGTATGCAAAGTATTGTTCCTGGGTGTGTCTGTGAAGATGTTACCAAAGGGATTAATGTTTGAGTCAGTGGACTGGGAGAGGGAGACTCACCCTCAATCTGGGTAGGCACTATTTAATCAGCTGCCTGAGGCTAGAATAAAGCAGGCAAAATTTGAAAAGCAGACTCCCTGAGTCTTCTGGCCTTCATCTTTATCCCATGCTGGATGCTCCCTGCCCTCAAACATCAGACTCCGAGTTCTTCAGCTTTTGGACTCTTGGACTTACACCAGTGGTTTGCCAGGGTCTCTCAGGCCTTTGTCCACAGACTGATATTCGTCCACAGCCAATAGCCGCACTGTTGGCTTCCCTACTTTTGAGGTTTTTGGACTCCAACTAGCTTACTTGTTTTTTAGCTTGCAGACGGCTGTTGTGGGACTTCACCTTGTTATCACGTGACTCAATTCTCCTAATAAACTCCCCTACATATATGCATATATCCTATTAGTTTTCTGTCCCTTTAGGGAACCCTGACTAATATAATACATTACTAATTTATTTATTTTGTTACTTACACTTGTTCCAGCTTTGGCCATTTGAAGCTCTTCCAATTGGCTTTTTTTCACTTTGAAATAATTCCAATTATTGTGAAGTTTTTTGGTTTTTGTTTTTCATCACCTCCTTACCTATTGTCACTACAAATATCCCAGGCTCATCTTTTATATTTTCTGCCCCAATCCTCAAATCAGCCAGTTTTCCAAAGAGTCTTGATAACTTTAATTGGAGAATAAAATTAGAAATCGAGATCTAAGTGCTAAATGTGCTGGTCGCTACTGGGGTTTTGTTGCTTCTAGGTGATCTCAGCTGACAAAGCCAGGAAATATATATGAGTGTATGTATATATACCCATGTATATACCTATATCTATAAATACATATCTATATGTAACCATCAAAATCTGTAAATGTTTCTATATGTAACTACCAAAATATATATTAAACTAAGCATCAGTTTATACTAAAGTCTTCATCTGATGTCACCCACTCTAACCCATTACACGTGGAACAGTCTAACTCTCTCCCCTTGCTGTAAACTTTTATTCCAGTTGTGAGAAACCTACCTCCTACTTCTCCATCCATTTACTTAATTGATCAATTCTAGTATATACATCTAGCAGTGTCATAATCAATAATCTGTAACCCCCATGAATACAATGTTATCAATGATAGTATAGTGTCTTGCACCTTTTGTTTTTGCCTTAAGTTTCACAGACTCCACGTATTTCTAGAGTTACTTAGGTCAACACCTTTTTCTCAATTCTTTTAATGAAGTTGTTTCATACACTTGTAATACAGTTAAACTGTTTTGTTTTGTTACATTCTGCATTCTATTCTGGAATTTCCCCAACCACCTAAATGATTATTTTATTGCATGCTTTAATATTCACTCTATATGCTATAACATTCAGTGGGTTTTGACAAATGGATAATGTTCTGTCTGTATGAGTACATTATAATATAGAATATTTTCACTGCCCTAAAATTTCCTTTATGCTTCATCTATTCAACTTGCTTCCCTCAAACTCCTGGCAACCACTCATCTTTTTACTGTCTCTACAGTTTTGCCTTTTCCAGAGTGTCATAGAATCCCAATAGTACAGAGTGTTTTGTTTTCACTTAACAATACTTATTTAAGCTTAATCTATGTCTTCTTGTGGCTTGACAGTTCATTTCTTTTGATCACCAAATGGTACTTCATTGTGTGGTTATACTAGAGTTTGTGTTCTGTTTATCCATTCACCTATTTAAGAGCATCTTGGTTGCTTCCAGGTTTGGCTATATGAATAGAAATTGTAAAGACATTCTAGTACAAGTCCATGTGTGGACATACATTTTCAGACAGATGGGTAAACAGCTAGAAATGTGATTGCTAGATTGTAAGATAAGATAATATTTGACTTTAGAAGAGACTGCCGACCTATCTTCCAAAGTGAGTGTGCTGTTGTTATTCCCACCATAAATTAATGAAAATTCCTCTTATTCTCTGGGATGGCAATTTTGTTGGATATAGAATTCTTAGTAGAGACGCTGCCTTTCAGTATCTGAATATGTCAACCCACTGCTTCCTGACCTCAGTGGTTTCCAATGGGAAATCAGCTGCTAATCTTATTGAGGATCCCTTGAAGTTGATGAGTAACATTTTTTGTATTGCTTTTATTAATTTCATTTTGTTTTTGACAATTTGACTATTGTGTATCTAGTTGTTAATTGTCGAAGAGTTCACTCTACTTGAAATTTATTGAGCTTCCTGCGTTGGTTGCAGTTTTATAAAAAAAAAATTTAGGAACATTTTGGCCATTAATACTTCAAATAGTCTTTCTGCTCATTTCTCTCTTTTCTGTCCTTCTGCTATTCCCACTATACATATGTTAATACGCTTGATAGTGTCCCATAAGTCTGTGAGGCTCTATTCATTATTTAAAATGCTTTTTTCTATTTATTCACCAGTCTGTATTATCTCAATCAACCTATGTTTAATTTTAATGATACTTACTTCTTCCAGCTAAAATATGCTGTTGAGGCTATCTAGTGATTTTTTCTTATAGTAAAATTCAACATACAACTGTGTAAAATGACTTCCTGTTATGCAGCTAAAATGAACAAACATAAACTAAAGGCTTAATGTATGATTGGTGGAAAAGTACTAAACTGAAGTCAGGGATCATAAACTTAAAGAAAATTAGAAGCTCAGTATTCCAAGGGACCTCATACACTGTAGGGTTCCGTCATTCCAAAGTTTGATTTCCATACAATATTACATTTGAATAGCTGTTTCTATTCTATTTCAATACAGGTCAATCACCAAAGGTATGACTCAGGGCAGGTGTCCCTAAGTTTCCATTCCTGTAAAATAAGGAAGTAATATTTTGTTAACTATAGTCTTTTTTGAAGTTTTAATATTTTATAATACCATTTGATAATTCAAAATGCTATTTGGGAAAACAGCACTTTTGAATAAAGTAAAAATGGTGTTGTTGCCATAATAGCATATTTTGAAAATATTTTCTGATTAACTTAGGTTGAAAATCTTACCTGAACATTATTTTAATATGTTCAGGTAATATTATGATTATTTTAATACATCTTCTTATTAGCCCAGTAATGCTTGTTAGATGAATGCCAATAGTGTGCTTACCAGCATTGCTTTATTTGGACTGGATTTACAGGATCTCTTTGAATGCAGAGATTGGGAGATAACATCATCATCATCCTTCTCATCATCATCAACGTTATTTTATAACTGGATAATGTCTAATATTTCCATAGTACATAATAATTTATTAAAATTTACCTTGGGTTTTCATTTACCAGAAAAAGGTGACTTGTCAAAGAAAAATGATAGATTTTTGGTAGATAAATTTTTTTCTCAATATTTGGAAAAATATTGTTTCAAGTATTTACCTTATATTAAGGGGCTATTTCCTTTGTGTGTATGTGTGTATATTGTTTATGTAAGTGTGTTTTAATATACATGTGTGCACACCATCACTGGTAATTATCCTGTTACTGAGTTTATTGAGTTTAATAAACCCAGAATTTTTTTCCCCAAGGCTACTACTGTACTCTCTTTTGGGTTCTCTGGTGCTTTAAAGGCTGCTGTGCTTGTCTGGGGACTTTCAGTTGTCTTCTTATATTCACTTGTCATCAAAAGAATTTTGGGAAATGGCATGATGTGTGGGCTGATCCATAAAGCTTGGTCACTTATGCCAAAGAATTGATGTTTATGCAAAATAATGAAGCTTTATGTTGGCCTTACCAGCTTATTCCTCTTAGTTTCCTGGCTGTTTGCATCACCTATCATAGCTGTTTGGTGATACGTGTATGCAATGGCTTAGTTTTAGAACATCATTAGAAAAAGGGTTTGTATGAAAGCCAGTAAAAGAAAGGAAATAAAGAAATTGTTTAAGAGAAAGTTAAGCAAAAACAGGAGTGAACTACTTAAGAAAAGCTATATTGTCTTTAAAAATGTTCTTAGCTAGTTAAATGTCATAAGAGAGGGGTAAAATATACTTTTACAAATAACAGTTTTTTAAGAAAGTAATTGTTTTCTCTGAATTTCAGTTAGAGACATTTAACTTTATTAAAGTAGTTTTAATCATAAAAAAATCAAAACGTAATCCTTTCATTTCTTTTAATTGATCAAAGATGTATGGATTTTTGAATAAGTTTATATATTGTTATAGCAGGGTTTTTTATGCGTTTTATATAATGAACTTTTCAGTAACTATCTTTGCTGTCGTATTTCTTATTCAACATTCATTCTCTCAAGTGCATCTGCATTGTCTAATACTGAATCATGCAAATAAGTAAACTGTATCAAATAAGAGACACGTAAAAGGGAAGAAGTATGACCAAAGCATAATGAGTTTTAAATTATCCTCCTCACTCTCCTCCCTGATGTTATTCTTGTAGCTCCACAGTCCCTCTCATTTACTTACATTGATTTAAACTTGTTATTTTTGTTTGGAAAAATTCTCGTGTCTTTTTCATATGCGTTTGTCTGTATTCTTCAATTAACCTGGAAACTATTCCAGGGGACTTGGTTCTCCCAACGGTTGAGAGAACCAGCACTTTGTTGAGTTGTGGCTGCTTCTGTGTGGTGTGATGACTGGCAGACAGAGTGTCCATTGTTGTTTTTAACTAGGACGATGAATTGTGGAAGTTAATATTCTATGTATGACATCCTCCTGTGTACCCTATCTCCAGCTCTCCTATCTCTGAAACTGGTAGAAAGAGCAACAGATGAATCCACACTGTTATTCCCCTTAGACTGATAATGGAACCACACAAGAGATACTATACAGTTTTATTGTGGGCAAGAAGGTTTTAGGCTAAGAAAAACAGGAGAAAAAAACTGATGTTAGTTTGAGAACGAAGGTTGAGATTTTTGTACCAGTCTAAGTGTAGTATTTCTGCCAAAATTTTTCAACCATTTAACATGTGGATGGATCTTTACACAAAATCAAATCATGATGGAAATGTGCTGCATGTTTATTACTATCTCAACTCCCTCATTATTAAGGCAGTATAAAAATGACTCTTATTTCACAAGTGTCTATAGAAAGCTTGTGGCTAAAATGTAAGTAGACTGAAAATGGGAATATATCTTAAAGACAATTCAGAGTCAGTTGAAGCTATACTGCATGAAAAACTGTTAACTCTCCTGTTTTCATAAATGCCAAGTGCAGCATATTTTAAATTTTAATTTGTGTTTGTATTCTTGGTAATTTTTATCCCCCTTCAGCCAAGTCCTCATTTATTTGTTCGCTCACATCTGTCCTAGAACATTCATATTTTACAGCAAGAAAAATGCCTGGTTGACCAAAGCTACTAATCCAAGAAGGAGAGTTCCAGCAAGAAGCGTTTCTAGAATGAGTTAGAAACATACAAAATGAGCAAAATTCAGACTGGCTGAGTAATGTTTTGGCTATTAATGCTGGAAGCAATGCTCACAACCAATTTACAGCTTTGCAAAGTTTGGGTTTTAGAGCAATCCCTGTCTCCTTATCCATTAGCAAGGCCGTGAGGTTCGTAACTGGGTGATCCTTGTCAGGATTAGAAGCAAGACTCTATGTGCTGACAGCTTCCAACAATACAACATAAAAAATGCAACTGTTGATATTTTAATTTGCTTCTCTCTAATTTTTAACAGCTACTAACTGCCTGATTAGTCAAGGGACATACTAAAAAGAAGTATACAGGGGCAGGGACTGTTGTGATAGGCTATTTCTCAAGTTAATAGCATAACAACATTTTTGAAAGAGGGCAAATAGAGGTATTCCAAAATAGCATGGAGAGAAGTAATTTCATTATTAACTTTATTTTTATTGGGTAAAATATACATAAATTAACAATTTTTAAGTGACAAACTAAGCAGCATTAATTACATTCACAATGTTTTACCACCCTTACCATCATCTCCGGAATTCTTTTCTTCTTTCCAACTGCAACTCTGTACTCATTGAACAACAACTTCCTATTCTCCCCTGCCCCCAGCCACCGGCAAAATTATTCTACTTTCTGTCTCTGTGAATTTGATTACTTTAGGAACCTCATATTGGTGGAATCACAGTGTTTGTCCTTTTGTATCTGGCTCATTTCACTTAGCACAATGTCTTCAAGTTTCCTCCATTTTCATCCAAGTTTCAGCATGCATCAGTTTTCTTCCTTTTTAAAGCTGAATAATGTTCCATTGTGTATATAAACTACATTTTATTTATCTATTCATTCGTCTATGCACTTTTGTATTCCTTCTACCTTTTGGTTATTGTGAATAATGCTACATAAACTTCATTTTTAAAAAACGGTCTGTGCACCCAATGAGCTACTATTTTATCACAGTATTTTGCGGTGGATTTCAGGATAGCAAATTCCTTTGAAGAACTGAGACCCAGATACATTTTACTTAAATCATAGAAAATATATATATATATGTTTTGGTCATAAAATATTCCTGGGAGCCTTTAAATCAAGCAGAATGCCCAGTTTTCCAGATGGCTATCTTATGTTTTTTTCTTCATCATCTTTTTAAAAAATATTTTTTAAAATAGACTATTCCATGTGGGTGTTACTTCTGGTTTTAGAGAGCACAATTCTGTTGTCCATTCTTCTGTAGTCTGTGATGAATAAAACAGAGATTCCCATGGTATTTTCAGTAAGATAAAACCAAGACTTAATTGGACATGGTTCATTCATGTGCAGTATTTCTGGATCTACTAACTGTGTCTGTTTACAAGGGAAAGGTGGCTGCCTTATCTTTCAGAATGGAGTGATATATGCACCAATCGCCTGTGATATTTATAGGGGGAGGGCTCTGTTCCATGGATTTGGGGTTTTATGAGATGCCCCTTGGTGGGATGCCTTTTAATTGCTTGAGTTATATTAGCCTTGAGGTAAGATCCTTTTCTGAAGTGTCCAGCCAAGCCCCCAGCTCAGCCCTCCTCAAAGCCACAGTAAAATTGCCATGCTTAAGTAGGGTAGGAATGCTAACATCCTAGATCTGAGAGAGGTAATTTGGTCCAAAATGCACTCCAGTAATGTTTATGTTTCAGATAAAGTGCTTACAACACTGCCACTGCCCTTTTGACCCCCATTTCCTTGTTCATGTGCTTCTAGGAGAAAGTGATACTTAAATTCAAATCTTTACTTTTATTAGCTCCCAGAGTGAACTAGGATTTCAGTCCAATCTTATCTCTGGTATAAACATCCTGTTACCTTTCGTATCTTGGAGATATCTTGAAAAAAATGATTAAATACATTCCATCAAGTGAACAAATAGAAACTCATCAGAATCTTTCTTTCTTTTCTTTTCTTTCTTTTTCTTCCTTTCTTCCTTTCTTTCTCTTTCTTTCTTTCTTTTCTGTGTGTTTTTTCTTTCTTTTCTTCTTTTCCTTCCTTCTTTCTCTTTCTTTTTTTCTGTTCCTCCCTCCTTCCTTCTTTTCCTCCTCCATTTCCCCTTCCCCACCTACGTTTTCTCTATTTCTATTTTCTCCCTTTCTTCTTCCTCCCCACCCTATCTCCTTCTCTCCCTGCCTTTCCCACTTCCTGGGTCCCCCTCTTCATCCCTTTTCATCTTCCCTCCCTTTCTCCTTCCATCCCTCTTTTCTTTCTTTCTTTTTTCCTTCTTCCTTTCTCCTTCCCTTCTTCCTTCCTCTCTCCTTTCTTTTCTTCCTTCTTCCCTCCCTTCCTCTTTCCTTCCTGTTTTTTCTTCTTTCTTTTCAAATATATGAATATATATATTGCAAACTCAAGGCAAATCATTTTCACAATCTGTAGTATAATGGGAGCACACTCTTTCTTCTAAAGATAATTTCTACTTTTATAGAATTGTAAACAAAAGATATTGCCTCCATAATTTCTAATATTCTGCACTAGGTAAAAGTGTTCTCTTTGGATCAATTAATGGTTGATCTTTTTAAATATCTTACAAATATTCAAAATATGATTATTTTCTCCAATATTCTCCACTTTCTGTATTCTCAATTATTTCACTGTGGAACTAAATTGCCTCTTGAAGCTTCCAGAGATTTTTTTTGCTCTTTGACAGCTTCAGCAGCTTTTGTTCATGAAATTTTTAATTCTTGAAGTGTTCTCTTTCTTTACCTTAACATGGATAATACCTGCTACTCTTTCTAGCCATTGTAGAAAACATGGCCTGTACAAATTCAAATGCTATTTTCTCTGGAAAGGATTCCCTAATCTCCCTCAAGACTCCACTAAGTTTAGTGTTGGACTTCTCCCCTCATACTTGCCCTTCCTTCCCTGAACATGGTACTTGCATATTTACTTGACTTTTTGTCGTTAGACTACAGACCACTTTGAGTTAGGGGTTGTGTATTGTTCCTTGGTGTATCGCCCATGCCTAGCAGGGTGCCTGGCTTCTGAGAGGTCGCAAATAAATGTGTGTCTAATAACTAAGGAAGAAGAGAAACTGTACGCATCAAGAAGGAGATCTGAGATTACCATCATAATGGAGAGCTACCAAACTTCTCCATTCCTAATATTATGCTGTCTTACAAATATAACCTCTAATCCTCAAAGTCCCTGAAAGAGAAATGGTTCTGTAATACAAATGGGAAAACTGAGGCTTGAGGAGACAAATCAATACTGATAAAAAGCACACATTGACTAAAAGTGGCAAATTGAGAATAATATGAACATCACAAATAGTAATAGTTGTTCATTTGTGGACCATTATCACTGAAAATGGTGGAAAAACACCAAAAGGTCAAGCAAAACTGTCACAGCCAACTTTGATAGATCTCTGGAAAATGGTCAAAAGTTTGCAACAACCAAGCAAACACTGAAAAGAGGAAAAGGTAATTCAAAAATAGTAGGAACATTTTCCAGTGCTTTTACTTGTTCTTGCTCTACACCCCTCCTTGATTTGGTGGCAAATTTGATAATAGTGGCCCATGTTGCCAGTTTGGGACCCTGGTCCTTGGTTCTGGAGGAAGAATAGCAGATCTTACTCTCAAAGAATTGTATTTGACCTGTCTGTTGCCTGCCTAAAGACTCATGCAAGATGCTTGACTTTGTTTCACCTAACTTGAAATTCTCTTAGAGCAAAAAAGCAGCTACACAGAGGGAATCATTCAAAAAGATAGTAAAGCAATGATAAATAACATGTAGTTGCTTGGAGCAAAATAATAAAATCAAGGAAAACAATTGATATACTGAAATCCTAGGAAGAAAGCTTGGAGTTTCTTTGGGAAAATGAGGCATTTAAAAGCACTATGTTCACTGCAGAATTCAGGAAGACATATAGATGCCAGGGCAGGTTGCATGCCTCAGAAGAGAACTGAGAAAATCCTAAACTTTCATCTCTGGCTGATCTTTAGGCTCAGCGTAAGCAGGAAGTAAGGTCTAAAGTTATAAGTGGCCTAGATAAGTATTGCAGGAGTGCCCATTTCACCATAAAAACACTTAACAAAGTAGAAATAGCAGGAAACTTCCTCAATCTGCTAAAGAGCATTTATGAAAAACTCAAGGCTAACATCATCCACAATGGTAAAAAACAGAAAATGTTCCCCCTAATACTAGGAACAAGACAAATATGCCCAATTTCACCACTTCTGTGCAATATTGTGCCTGAAGTTCTGATCAATGAAACAAGAAAAAAATAAAAGATATCCAAATTGGACAGGAAGAATCAAAACGATCCTAATTCACAGATGCCATACTCTTATATGCAGAAAAAGCTTACAGAATCCATTAAGGTTCTAGCAGAGCTAATAAACATTTCAACAAAGTTGCAAGACTCAAAAGGAGCACACACAAATTTGCTGAAATCTCTATAGACTAGCGATGAACGATTCAAAAAGGAAATTAAGAAAGAAATTCCATTTATGAGAACATTCAAAATAATAAAATACCTAGGAATAAATTTAAGCAAGAAAGTGAAAGACCTGTACACTGAAAATTAAAAATGTTTCTGAACAAGTTATGGAAAACGTAAGTAAATGTAAGATCATTCTGAGTTAATGGATTTACTTTATGAACAACTGATTTTTGCCAAGGGTTCTAAGACCACCGAATCGGGGAAGAATAGTCTCTTCAAAAATTGGTGCTGGGACAACTAGATCTTCACATGCAAAAGAATTAAGGTGGACACTTACTTCACAACATAAACACAAATTAACTGAAAAAAGATGAAAGACCTAAATGTAAGAGGTAAAGCATAAAATTCTTATAAGAAAACATAGTATTATACCCTCAATAATAAAGAGAAAATAACTCAATTTAAAAAATATAAAAATAATTTGAATAGATATTCCTTCAAGGTAGATATATGTATGTCTAATGAGCACACAAAATGAAGTTTAATATCAGTCATCAGGAAAGTGCTAATCCAAACCACGATGAAACATCAACTAATGCCCACTAACATAGCCACAATAAAAAAAAAAACACAGAAAATAGCAAGTGTTGGCAAGGATGTAGAGAAAAAAGAGCCCTCATACATTGCTAGTGGAAATGTGAAATGCTTTAGCCACTGTATAAAGGTTTGGCAGTTTCTCAAAAAAATAAATATGAAATTACCATTTGACCCAGTAATTCCACTCCTTTGTATATACTCAAAAGTATTGAAAATAGGTATTCAAACAAAGACTTGTACAGGAATGTTCATAGCAGTACTATTCACAATAGCCAAAAGGTAGAAATTACACACATATCCATCCATAAATGAATGGATAAATAAAAAAGTCATATATATACATAGAATGGCCATTATTCAGCCATAAAAAGAAAAGAGGTACTGATATGTGGACCCAAGGGTGAATCTCAAAAACGTTAAGCTAAAGAAACCAAACACAAATGGTCACTACTCCATTATTCCACTCATATGAAATCCCCACAATAGATAAAGTAATAGAGACACAAAGAAGATTGGTAGTTGCCAGGAAATTAATGGGGGAAGAACATACAAGTGGCTGCTTAGTGCATATGGGCTTTTCTTTTTGGGTCATGAAAATGATTTGGAACTTGATATAGGTGGGTTGAACAACATTGTGAATGTACTAAGTATCGCTAAATTGAAATGTCTAATTGTGTTATGTGAATTTCACCTCATTAAAAAAAGATATGTAAAAGAATGATAGAAAAAGATTATAATTCACTGAATTAAAAAAATCTGAATCCATAGTGATATTCATTAAAATGTAGAGAGAGGGAGGGAGGGAAGGAAGCATGGAAGGAAGGAAGGAAGCAAGCAAGGAAGGAAGGAGGGAGGGAGGGAGGGAGGAAGAAGGGAAAGGAAAGGAAGGGAAGGGAAGGGGAGAAGGGGAGAAGGGGAGAAGGGGGAAAGGAAAGAAAAGAAGGAAAGGAATGAAAGGAAGGGAAAGAGGGAGGGAGGGAGGGAGGAAGAAGAGTATTTTCATGGTTTTTAAGTGTCACTCCACAGATTACTTTTTAATACAAATGGGGAAATCTACCTTTACAGTAAAGATATCTGGCAGACAACATCTCAACCCAGTAGTTTTACTTAGCATTGCCAACTATGGAGCAAATTGACATCACAGGCCCCCTAGTAGGGTGCAAAAGAAAGAAGGCAATATCTGCTATGTGATACTGTTGCCACAGATGCTTACAATGAATCATATCACATGGAAATAATCAGATGATTCAGATGTGGAACACATCATATGATAGTCTAGACTCTTCAAAATGTCAATATTATGAAAGATGAAATAATATGAAGGAATATTCTAGGTTAAATAAGAATAAAGAGAACTTGACAACAAAATGTAATGTGTAAGCCTTGATTAAATCTGGAATCAAGGGGAAAACAAACAATCCTAGCTGTTAAAATCATATTTGGAACAATTGGGGAAATTTGATCATGAGCTGTACAGTATGTATATAATGGTGTCATTTATTCATTGCCTCTCAGCTTCTAATAAACCCTTCAATATACACTCTGTGATAAACAGTGAAATTTCTTTAAACATTTCCCCTTTAAAAAGTGAGCATGATGCTAAGCTTTCTAAGTAGAGGGTACTGGAGAGACTTTGCAGGAGCAAGAGACTCCTGCAATTTCCATGCCAAAGGGTGGCCACTGGCGGGGAGAGATTAGTGTTGGTGCCACGGAGCCTACCCCAGCGTAAGACCCGAAACATAATCTCTCTGCCACCAACCTCTGCCTGGCAATGGCCTTTCTACAAACTTCTTAACATGGAAATCAATATCCCTGCATGGCTTACATAAAGCTGCCTATAACACAAAGGGTTACATGCAGAACACTACTTGTTCTACGAGTTTCTATGTGGTCTGCATACAGCCTACCTATGCCCTAGGTATTCCGGCAGAGCTGCCACTCCCTCCGAAGAGATCTGCATACTCTGAGGTCTTCCCTACCTATTGTCACCTGGACTCCTGCTGCCACTGGTTACTCATTGCCAGCTTTTGCAGCTACAATCCAGAGGGTTGTCTATTTGCTCAGAATCTCAAGAATAGCTCCAGACTGGCGAAACTATTTAACTTCTTGGCTATCTGGTGGCTAACCCACCTGTGCTATGAGGTCTGAACTCCTTTTCAAGTTTGTTCTGCTCTTGGCACTCTCTCTCAGTCCTGGGTTACTATGTAGACTTCTCTTGTATTTTATAGTTAGTCCTTTACTATAGTTAATAATTTTACAGTTTAACTTACCCTTTTTAACATACTTTCTGGTATATATCTCCTGACTATCCAGATTGCTGCAGAATTGCTATCAGGCATAGTTCCAGAAAATATACCCCCTAAAGATGACATATTAGTTTCCTGGGCTTCCGTGACAGTTACCCCAAACTGGGTGGCTTAAAGCAGCAGAAATTCATGGATCTCACAGTTCTGAGGCTAGAAGTTAAAAATCAGTATCACTGAGCCATAGTTAAGCTGTGGGCAGGGCCTCACTCCATCTGGAGGATCCAGGGGAAAGTCTGTTCCTGTCCATTCCACCTTCTGAGGGCTTCTGGCATTCCTTGGCTAATGGCTACTTCACTCCAACCTTGAAATCTGCTTGTATCTTTATATGACCTTATCCTCTGTATGTATCAAATCTCTCCTGCCTCTCCCCTAGGGATAAGTGTCATTGTATTTAAGGCCCACCCGAATAATTCAGGATATTCTCTCCATCTCAAAATCCTTAATTTAATCTCATTTGCACTCCTCAGCTTCTTTTTTACCACACGAGGTAAAAGTCACAGGTTTCAGAGATTAGGATGTGAGACATGTGAGACGTGTGAGACGTGTGGTCTTTTAGGGGGAATTTTTTTCAGCCTACCTCAGATGGGGTGTGAGGACTGGTTTGGTTATGCCCTTGGGTCTGAGCATGATCTTTACCAGTGAGATATGGGACACTAATAACCAATGGCATGAAATGACATTACAATTAATCAAGCCATCCTCTGCAGCTGATTATAATTAAGTGCCAATTGAAACACATACCTTGGGAGTTCAAGTGGGTGCTATCCTTAACTGTATGGCAGTAATAATGACTATAAAGGCTGCAGTGTGAAATAGTTGTTTGTTTGTTTGTTTGTTTTTGTTTAGTGCACTTGAGTGCTTACAAAGAGAAAATGACAAGCTAAGGTCTATTATCTTCCATTTCACGTCACGGTCCGAAAAATCAGACAGCTTTCACAATAGCCCTCCATGACATCCCTATGACAATGTTTTTTTTTTCTAGTATAATAGGTGCAGGGCCAATATCGCTGAAAATCAGACACAAATTTTAATTGTGAGAGTTGTTAAATTACAATGACAATTGTATTAAAAGTGTGTTATGACAATTCATAGTATCTCCAAGTTTCTTATGTTAAAGGCTATTGATTGAAAAGTAGTGAGATTCTAAAATTTGTCATGAAGACATCTGGTTGAACCCAGATAAAACTGATAATCTTGAACCCTCAACTCATTCTGAGCATCTCTTACCAACAGAAATGGCTGGCCATCTGGTACTCCAGGAGTCTGCCTTCCTCAGCCTGAAAACCCTTTGATACAGTAAGTTGGGTTGGATGCCTTGGAAAGTAATGCTTATTCTTCTTGGGATCCATCACAAACCCCCACCTCCATTGTCACTAGGCCCATAGCTAGTGTCAAATCTCAGTGGGCTCTGGGGTGGCAGACAACATAACCCATGGTGAAATAGCAAGACCTTGCTAATATATATTGGCAGAAACCATGGGAATGTGTGAGAATATTGTTTAAGGATATTAGACCAAAAAGGAAGCAATATAACACTAGATTTTGCTGTATTAATTGACATAAATTAATGAACAGCCTCAGTCAGGGGTGGTTCTTGGCAAAGATAAAGGAAAATCTCCCCAGTGGCAGACCTTCATGAAGTATATTTGTTGTCCATTATATCTGGAGTGAGAACTGGCCGGAGTGTAGATCTATACTAATTTATGAGCACTTGCTAATTAATGGTTTAGCTGAAGGGTTAGGGACTTTCAAAGAAGTAAACTTAGAAGACTTGTAACAAATGTGTTTGGGGAAGAAGTATGTGGATTGACCTCTCAGAATGGACACAGACTGTGAAGATATTTTTGTCCCATGTGGATGCTCAGGAAAAGGCATCCACTGTAGTTAATAGTAATGTATTGTATACTTAAAATTTGAGTAGATCTTACATGTTCTCAATATTTAAAAAACTACTATGTGAAGGTGAGGAGTATGTTAATTAGCTTGGTTGTGATAATCACTTCACAATGTATATATATGTCAAAACATCACATTTTAAACCTTAAGTACATAGACCTTTGTCAATAACTCAATAAATCTGGGGAAAAATAAGTAAACAAAGTAATATCTCTGTGTATGTTAGCAATTCTCTTTCCCCAGCCACCCCAGTGCTTGCCCAATGGACTGATGAACATGGTGACCATAATAACAGGGTTGTAGGCTATGTCTGGGCTCAACAGGAACTTCTTACTAAGGTTGACCTGGCTACCACTAATGTGTAGCCTGATCTACCATTTTTTTTGCTTTTAATTCTCCAAAATTTCTTTTCTAGTATGTGTATAAAGTTATGGCATGCATCACATCACTCAAATAATATACATTACACTCATTAAGTGATTTATCATCACTTCCCTCACTTCCACTCTTTCACCTGTCCGAGTTTCCTTTGTCTGTTATTCCACATTCTACATCCATGCATACACATTATTCAGCTCCCACTTATAAAGTGAGAATATACAGTATTTGTCTTGCTATGTCTCACTTGTTTCACTAAAGCTAATGTCCTCCAGTTCCATTAAAGTTGCTTCAAAAGACAAAAATTTTTTTTTGTTTTTTTACTGCTAAATGGTGTCACATTACGGACATGTGCCACATTTTCTTTATCCAGTTATCCACTGATGGACACTTAGGTTGATTCCATATCTTTGCTATTGTGAATAGTTCTTCCACAAACATATAGGTGCGGTTATCTTTTTGATATAATGATTTATTTTCTTTTGAGTGGTTACCAGATAGTGGAATTGCTGGATTGAATAGTAGTTCTATTTTTAGTTCTCTGAGAAATCTCCATACTGTTTTATGTTCCCACTAACAGTGTATAAGAGTTCTCTTTCCTCCACATTCTACCAACATTTGTTATTTTTTGTCTTTTTAATAATAACCATTCTGACTGGCCTTAGATCATATCTCATTGTGGTTTTAATTTGCATTTCTTTGATGATTAGTGATATTGAGCATTTTTTTATACACCTGTTGGCCATCAGATGTCTTCTTTTGAAAAATGACTATTAATATTCTTTGCGTATTTTTAATGGATTATTAGTTTTTGTTGTTGAGTTGTTGAGTCCCTTGTAAATTATGGATATTAGTCCTTGTTGGATAAATGGTTTTCAAATATTTGTTCCCATTCCGAGGGTTGCCTGTTTGTATTCCTTTTTCTATGCAGAAGCTTTTTAGTTTAATTAAGTCCCATTTGTCTATCTGCCAATTTTGGATATCAACAGTTTCCATTGTGGCACCATTCCCTGGGGACCACCCTGCCACCTAGCGGCAGGTTGATTGAATTGGCTCTCTTCCATCACGGAAGTGACAGATTTATCCTCATTGGAATAGACATATGATCCGGATATGAGTTTATCTTCCCTGCTGGTAATATTTCTTTTAGTACTACCATAAATGGACTCAAATAATGCCTGACCCACCGTGATGGGATTCCTCACAGTACTGCGTTGGATCCAGAAGTGCATTTCACAGCAAAGGAAATGCAATAATGGGATCATGTCTTAGAATCAAATGGCCTTCCCATATACCTCATTACCCAAGAGCAGTTGGCCTAATTGAAAGGTAACATGGCTTAATAAAGACTCTGTTATGGTGTCAATTGGTAAATTACAGCTTGAATGCGCAGGATTTTGTTTTATAGGGTGCAGTTTATGCTTTGAATCAGAGGTCACTGTATGTCATTGTTTTTCCTACAGTCAGAGTGCGTGTGTCCTGGAATCAAGGTGTGAAAGTGAAAATGTCTACTCTATTATCTAATAACCCCCTGCAAAATTTTGCCTCTTATTCTGATAATGTTGAGCTCTGCTGGATTGGAGATCTTAGCCTACAAGAGGAATGCTTCCCCTGGGGGACATGATAGGTCCATAGCAATGACTTCATCAAATTGAAAGATGAAGTTTTGATCTGGTCACTTTGGGCTCCCTCCACCACTAAACAAATAAGCAAACTAACAAAAAAAGGAGCTAAAAGGGAGCTAATCTACTGGCTGGAATGATTGATTTTGATTACCCAGAGTAATCTGGGTTGCTGCTGTAAAAGAAAAAGAAAGACAATGTCTGGAAACTATTTTTATGTAAACAGAAAAAAAAAAAAGCTTTCATAAGAACCAAAAAATCACATGAACACTCATAGAACCTGGTTGTAACTTCATATCACTGAAAAAGGCACGGAAGAGATAGAAAAAAACCAGTCCTGAATTGCCAATGCCAAGCTTCCCCAAACCTCCATAGTGGCTATGTGGTACAGAGAGCATCTCTGGTTGCTGGGGGCAGGGGAGCACAGCAATTGTGATTCATTGAACTCAGTGTTGTCCTTTTAGAGAAGAAAGGAAAACTGGACCAAACTCAGCTGATGCCTGCCCACAGAAAAAGCATTTAAACCAGCCCTACCCAGAAAAGAATTGCAAATCTCAACTATCCTAACTTGAATTTCCCCAAACCTCTCCACCAAGGGCTACAGTGCTCTCCGTCTCAAAGTAAACTTGAAAGGCAGTCTAGGCCATAAGGACTGCAATTCTTTTTTTTTTTTTTTTTTTTTTTTTTGAGATGGATTCTCACTGTCGCCCAGGCTGGAGTGCAGTGGTGCAATCTTGGCTCACTGCAACCTCTGCCTCCAATGTTCAAGCGATTCTCCTGCCTCAGCCTCCTGAGTAGCTGGGACTACAGGCGTGTGCCATCATGCCCAGCTAATTTTTGTATTTTTAGTAGAGATGGGGTTTCACCTTGTTGGCCAGGATGGTCTCGATCTCTTGACCTCATGTTCCGCCTGCCTCGGCCTCCCAAAGTGCTGGGATTACAGGCGTGAGCCACTGTGCCCGGCCAGGGCTACAACTCTTAGATGTGTCCTAGTGCTGAACCAGGCCCAGAGACAGTGGACTGGGAAGGAGGGGTACACAATATACTCAGACACCAGCTAGGGCAGCCAAGGGAGTGCTGGCATCACATCTTCCCTAGCCCCAGGCTGCACAGCTTGAGGCTCCAAAAGAGACACCTGAGGAAAGAAAAAGGAAACGTGGGGAGGACTTTATCTTGCATCTTAGGTACCACGTTTGCCACAGCAGGATAGGGCACCGGTCAGAGTGGTGAGGTCCCTATTTCAGGCCCTAGCTCCCAGATATTACTTCTAGACAGACCCTTAGCCAGAAAGAAACCTGCTGCCTTGAAAGGACTCAGTCTTAGCAGCATACATCACCTGCTAACTGAAGAGCCCTTGTGTCCAGAATAACCAGAAGCAATACCCAGATACTACAGCAAGGGCCTTGGGTGAGCTTCTGAGGCTTGCCAGATTTAGGTGAGACTAAGCACATTACTAGCTGAAGTGGCTATGGGCAAAACTCCTTCTGCTTGAGAAAATCAGAGGAAGAAGTAAAGGGGACTTTGTCATGCACCTTAGGTACCAGGATGGCAACAGAAAGTAGACCATCAAGTGGGCTCTTGGGGTCCCTGATTCAAGGACTTGACTCTTAGATGACATTTCTGAACCTGCCCTGGGCCAGAGGGGAGCTCACTGCCCTGAAAGGAAAGTCCCAGGCTATACAGCATTCACCAAAACTGACTTAGCTTTTGGGCCTTAAGGGAATATCAGAGGTAGTCTGGGAGCACTCCCATGGCCTGTGGTGGTGGTGGTGGCTAAGGGATAAGTCTTCTCTGCCTTTGGAAATGGGTGTGGGAGGGACTGCATGTTGTGCTTTGACTGCCAAGTCAGCCTCGATACCAGAGAATTCCAGGTAGATTTCTAAAGATTTTGACTCTAGTCTCTGACTCCCAGACAGAACCTCTGGATAGCACCTTAGGACCCCTCAGGGGCTTGAGGGACCGCATCACCTTGAAGGGAAGGACACAGGCCTGGCTGGCTTTGCCAAATGATGATTGTAGAGCCCCAGGACCTAGATCAAACATAGGCAGTAGCCAGGGAGTTGTTACAACAGGACTTGGGTGAAACCCAGTGCTGTGGTGACTTCAGGCCTGACCCAACACAGTCATAGTTTTGGTGGCCACAGTGGGGCTTCTGTCATTTTACCCCTAGCTTTAGTGGCTCAGAACAGAGAGACTCTATTTGGGAGAACATAAGGGAATAGAACAAGAGTCTTTGCCTGGGAATTCAGAGAATTCGCCCAGAGCTTGTTGAGGACCATCAAGGTGTTTCCTCCATGAGTCTTCAAGAACTACAGTGTTTCTGGACTTAGGGTACCTGCTAACATCACAACACCTGAGTCCTTCAAAATGTCTTTAAAACCTTCCCAAGAAGGACAGGTACAAATAAGCCCACAGGGTGAATATGACAATAAGTACCTAATTCTTCAATGCCCAGACACTGAAGAACATCTATTAGCATCAACATCATCCAGGAAAACATGACCTCACCAAATGAACTAAATAAGGCACCAGGGACCAGTCTGAGATGAAAGGTCACATATCTGAGAGACAGAGATATGTGACCTTTCAGACTGAGAATTCAAAATAGCTGAGTTGATGAAACTAAAAAAAAATTTAAGATAACACAGAGAAGAAATTCAGAATTCTATCAGATAAATTTATCAAAGAGATTGAAATAATTAAAAAGAATCAAGCAGAAATTCTGGAGCTGAAAAATACAATTGGTATACTGAAGAATGCATCTGAGTCCTTTAATAGCAGAATTGGCTAAGCAGAAGAATTAGTGAGCTTGAAGACAGGCCAGTGGAAAATATAGTCAGAAGCAACAAAATAAAAAAAGAATTAAAAAAATGAAGCATGTCTACAGGATACAGAAGATAGCCTCAAAATCTAAAGAGGAGACAGAAAAAGAGACAGAGGTAGAAAATTTATTCAAAAGGATTATAACAAAAAACTTCCCAAACCAAGAGAAAGATGTCAATATCCAAGTACAAGAAGGTTATAAAAAAGGAAGCAGATTTAACCAAAGAAGACTACCTCAAGACATGTAATAATCAAACTCTCACAGGCCATGGACAAAGAAAGGATCCTATAAGCAGTAAGAGAATAAACAAATAACATACAATGGAACTCCAATACATCTGGCAGCAGACTTTTCAGTGGAATCCTTACAGGCCAGGAAAGAGTGGCATGAAAACAAGCAAACAACAAACAAAAAGCCTTTTACCCTAGAATACTTTATCTGGCAAAAATATCATTCAAACATGAAGAAGAAATAAAGACTCTCCCAGACAAACAAAAGCTGAGGAATTTAATTAATATCAGACCTGTCCTGCAAGAAATGGTAAAGGAAGTACCACATCCGAAAGAAAAGGACATTTATGAGCAATAAGTAATCAACTGAAGATTCAAAAGCTCACTGGTAACAGTAAGTACACAGAAAAACACAGAATATTATAACACTGTAACTACTCTTACACTAAGTAGGAAGACTAAACAATTTATCAACCAAGAATAACTGTGACAACATTTCAAGGCATAATATAATAAGATATAAATAGAAACAACAAGATATTAAAAAGGAGGGCTATGAAGTTCAGGCATAGAGCCTTTATTAGTTTTCTTCTTGCTTGTTTGCTTGTTCATGCAATCAGTGTTAACTTGTTATCAGGTTAAAATAATGAGTTTATAAGATCATATGTGGAAGTCTCCTGATAACCTCACACCAAAAAACATACAATGGGCAAATAAAAAATAAAAAGCCAGAAACTAAATTGTATTATCCGAGAAAATCACCTTCATTAAAGGAAGACAGGAAGAAAAGAAAGAAGGAAGAAGATCACAGAACAAGCAGAAAACAAGTAACAAATGGCAAGAGTAAATCCTTATTTGTCAATAATAGCATTGAATGGAAATGTACTAAACTAGCCAATCAAAAGACAGAGAGTGGCTGATGGATGAAAAAGCAAGAGCCATGGATTTGCTGCATGAAAGAAACACACTTCATCCATAAAGACACACACAGATTGAAAATAAAGGGATGGAGAAGGATATTCCATGCCAACAGAAACAAAAAAAGAGCAGGAGTCGCTATACTTAGACAAAAGAGATTTCAAGGAAAAAAACTACAAGAAGAGACAAAAGTTACTATATAATGATAAAGGGGTCAATTTAGCAAGAAGATATAACAATTAAAATATATATGCAGCCAAGGCCCTGGAACACCCAGATATAAAAAGGACATATTACTAGAGCTAAAGAGAGGGATAGGCCTCAATACAATAATAGCTGGAGACTAACTCCCAACTTTCAGCATTGGACAGATTTTCCAGGCAGAAACATTGGATTTAATCTGCACTATAGGCCAAATGGACCTAAAAGGTATTTACAGAACATTTCACACAATGGTTGCAGAAAACGCATTCTTTTCCTCAGAACATGGGTCATTCTTAAGGATAGACCACATGTTAGGTCACAAAACAAGTCTTAAAACATTTGAAAAACTGAAATGATGTCAAGCATCTTCTCTGACACAATGGAATAAAACTAGAAATAAATAATAAGAGGAATTTCAGAAACTATACAAATACATGGGAATTAAACAATATGTTCCTGAATGACCAGTGGGTCAATGAAGAAATTAAGAAGAAAATTGAAAAATTTCCTGAAACAAATGATAATGGAAAAGCACTATACCGAAATATGTGGGATACATCAAAAACAGTACTAAGAGGAAAATTTAAAGCTATAAGTGCCTATACCAAAAAAGAGGAAGAATTTCAAATAAACAATTTAATGATGCATCTTAAAGAACTAGAAGAGCAAGAGTAAACTGAACCCCAAATTAGTAGAAGAAAATAAATAATAAAGATCAGATCAGAAGTAAATGAACAGAAGATACAAATAAATAAATTCAGAAATGAAGAAGGAGGCATTACAACTGATACTGCAGAAACTCAAAGAATCATTAGTGGCTACTATGAGTAACTATATGCCAATAAATTTGAAAATCTAGAAGAAATGGACAAATTCCTAGACACATGCAACATACCAAAATTGAACCAGGAAGAAATCCAAAACCTGGACAGACCAATAAAAGTAACAAGATCAAAGCCATAACAAAAAGTCCCCCAGTAAAGAAAAGCCCAAGACCCAAGGACTTCACTGCTGAATTCTACCAAACACTTAAAGAAGAATTAATACAAGCCTACTGAAATTATTCTGAAAAATAGGAGGAAATGCTTCCAAACTCATTCTACGAGGCCAGTTTACCCTGATAGCAAAACCAGACAAAGACACATCTAAATTAAAAACTACAGTCCAATATCTCTGACGAATATTGGTGCAAAAATCCTCAACAAAAAACTAGCAAACTGAATTCAACAATACATTAGAAAAATCATTCATCATGACCAAGTCGAATTTATCCCTGGGATGCAAGGATGGTACAACATGTGCAAATCAATTAACATGATACATTATATCAGCAGAACGAAAGATAAAAACCATATGATCATTTCAATTGATGCTGAAAAAGCATGTGACACAACTCAACATCCCTTCATGATAAAAAAAAAAAACCCTAAAAAAACCAGGGATTGAAGGAACATACCTCAACATAATAAAAGGCGTTTATGACAGACCCACAGCTAGTATCATACTGAATGGGGAAAAACAGAAAGCCTTTCCTCTAAGATCTGGAACAGGACAAGAATTCTCAGTGTCACCACTGTTTTTCAACATCGTATTGTAAGTCCTAGCTACAGCAACAAGACAAAAGATATAAAGGGCATGTGAACTGGACAGGAAGAAGTCAAGTTATCCTTTTTTTGCAAATGATATAATCTTAAATTTGGAAAAATCTAAAGACACGACAAGAAAACTATTAGAACTAATAAACAAACTTAATAAAGTTGCAGGATACAAAATCAACATACAAAAAATCAGTAGCATTTCTATATGCCAACAGTGAACAATGTGAAAAAAGAATGAAAAAGCAATTCCATCTACAAGAGCAACACGTAATATTAAATACCCAGAAATTAACCAAAGAAGTAAAAGATGTCTATGATGAAAACTATAAAGCATTGATGAAAGAATTGAATAGGATGCCAAAAATATGAAAAAAAAATTTCATGTTCGTGGATTGAAAGAATCAATCTTGTTAAAATGTCCATACCACCCAAAGCAATCTACAGATTCAATGCAATCCCTGTCAAGGTACCAATGACATTCTTCACAGAATAGAAAAAACAATCCTAAAATACATATGGAACCACAAAAGGCCCAGAATAACCAAAACTATTCTAAGAAAAAAGAACAAAACTGAAGGAATTACAGTTCCTGACTTCAAATTTTACTACCGAGCAATAGTAACCAAAGCAGTATGGTACTAGCATAAAAACAAAAACATAGACCAATGGAACAGAATAGAGAACCCAGAAAGAAATCCACACACCTACAATGAACTCATTTTTGACAAAGGTACCAAGAACATACACTGGAGGAAAGATAGTCTTGTCAATAAATGGTGCTGGGAAAACTGGATATCCACATCATAAGAATGAAACTAGACCCCTATTTCTCACCATATACAAAAATAAAATCAAAATGCATTAAAGGCTTAAATCTAAGACCTTGAACTATGAAACTACTACAATAATACATTGGGGAAGATCTTCAGGACATTGGTCTGGGCAAAAATTTCTTGAGCAATACTCTACAAGCACAGGCAAGTAAAGGAAAAATGGATGAATGGGATTATCAAAGTTAAAAAGTTTTCTCTCAGCAAAGGATACAATCAACAAGGGGAAGATAAAATCCATACAATGGGAGAAAATATTTGTAAACTACTCATCTGAGAAGAGATTAATAACCAGAATATATAAGGAGCTCAAACAACTCTATAGAAAAAATTCAGTAATCTGATCGAAAATAGGCAAAAGATTTGAATAGACATTCTCAAAAGAAGACATAAAAATGGTAAACAGGCATATGATCAGAGAAATGCAAATCAAAACTACAATGAGATATCATCTCACCCCAATTCAAATGGCTTATATCCAAAACACAGGCAATAACAAATGCTGTTGAGTATGCAGAGAAAAGGGAACACCTTTGGCCGGGTGCGGTGGCTCACGCCTGTAATCCCAGCATCCCAGCACTTTGGGAGGCTGAGGCAGGAGAATCACTTGAACCCAGGAGTAGGAGGTTGCAGTGAGCCAAGATCGCGCCGCTGCACTCCAGCCTGGTGACAGAGTGAGACTCTGACTCAAAAACAGAACAAAAAAAAAAAAGAAAAAGAAAAGAAAAAAAGAAAAGGGAACTCTTGTACACTGTTGATGGGAATGTAAATTGGTACAACCACATGGAGAACAGTTTGGAGGGTCCCCAAAAAAGTAAAAATTGAGCTATCATATGATCCAGCAATCCCACTTCTGGGTATATATTCAAAAGAAAGGAAATCAATATATCAAAGAGATATCTGCACTCTTGTTGCAGCATTGTTTACAGTAGTTAAGATTTGGGGACAACCTAAGTGTATATGGAAGAGATATCTGCACTCTTCTTTGATATCTTGTAATCAGCATATTGAAGAGATATCTGCACACCTTTGTTGCAGCATTGTTTACAATAAATAAGACTTGGAGGCACCCTAGGTGTCCATCAACAGATGAACGATAAAAAAGGTGATAACTATATATAATGGAGTATTATTCAACCATATAAAAGGATGAGAACCAGTCATTTGCAACAATGTGGATAGGAACTGGAGATCATTATGTTAAGTAAAGTAAGCCAGACACAGAAAGACAAACTTTGCATGTTCTTACTTATTTGTGGGATCAAAAAATCAAAACAATTGAACTCCTGGAAATAGAGAGTAGAAGGATAGTTACCATAGGCTGGGAAAGGTAGTTGGGGAGCTGGGGAAAGGTAGGGATGGTTAATGGTACAAAAAATAGTTAGAAATAATGAATAATAGCTACTATTTGATAGCACATCAGAATGACTATAGTCAATAATAATTCACTAGCACATTTTAAAATAACCTAAAGAGTATACTGGATTGTTTGTAACTCAGAGGATAAATGCTTGAGGGAATGAATATGCCATTCTCCACGATGTGCATATTTCACTTTGCATGCCTGTATCAAAACATCTCATGTATCCCATAAATATATACACCTACTATGTACCCAGAAAAATCAAAAATTTTTAAAAAATCAATTAAGAGTTATTGGAGTTTAAATTTACAATTTAAATTTAGGTAAGACTTTGTGAGATAGTGATTGAATTTGAGGAGCAATTAATATAGCTAACAGTGGACACAATGCTGAGTGGGGCTGTGTGTCTTCTCCTTTGGGGGAAGAGTCAGAACTTCCTCTCTTGCCAATTTGTGTAGAAAGGTTCATGTGGAAACTGAGTAGCTAAAGTGGTGGACTGTTTCATTTATTAATTTATTGCCTCTCATCTCTAAATGCAGCCTTCCATGTATACTCTATGATAAACAACAGGATTGGTTTAAGTATTTCTTCAAGGTGAATATGAGGGTAAGCTTTCTCAGTAGACTGTGCTGGAGGGACATTGTAGGAGGTAAAGGCTAACTGCAATTTCTGGAGAGAGGGTTTGGCAATGGGTGCATGAAGATAACCAGTGGAGCCTGCCCCAGCCATGGGTCAGAACACTATTCCCCTGTGACCTCACAGCCTCTACCTGGTGATGACCTTTCTGTAGTCCTCTTGGTGATAACCTTTCTGTAGTCCTCTCAACATGAAAACCAAAACTCCCAGGCAGTCTACACAAAGACCTGTGGTGCAATGGGTCATACACTACGCAGCCTTTCCAAAAGACCCCATGCAGCCTGTGCAAGCAGCCAAGGGCCCAGGCAATCCATACAGAGCTTCTTCTCCCTTTGCAAGTCCCCATGCAGCCCACATGCTCTGAAGACCTTTGCTGCCACTGGCACCTGAACTCCTACAGCATGTCCGTACCACCAGTTCTTGATCACCTGTTCCCTCCCTGCACTCCATGGAGATGCCTATCATTTGCTCAGAATTTCCAGACCATCTCTGGTCTAGCTAAACTACTGTACTTCTCTGCCATCTGGCAATCTGGTGGTTCAACCTTACCTTCTCCTCCAAGGTCCAAACTCCCTTCCACATTTGTTCTTCTCTGGATACTCTCCCTTAGTCCTAAGGTACTATATAGATTTACCCTCACATCTTATACTTAACTCCTTTACTATAGTTAATATTCTCATAATAAGCATCCCCTGTCTAACCTACTGTGTTGTTTCTACTTTGTCATTGGTCTCAAATTCTATAATAATCTTCTTGATTCAATATTCTTTGGATATAAAAAAGGAAAAAAAAAGGTACTCATTACTTTTGGGGAGGACCATGAGATTAGGTTTGGATGTTGAAGATATTTTATTCTTCTTCATAATACTTGAAATTTTCATATGGAAACTATTTCATAGGATACACAGACAACAAAATCATTGAACAAAAAGTTGTGCCTTTTGATATGCTGAAATAATCATTAACATGCACATAATTATTAGGAATTAATAATTCTAATTAACATTAATATTATTAGAATATAATTATTCTGAACCTAATTATAAAGAATAATAATTTATTAATATAATCAGCAAAACTCATTTGCATTTATATATCAATTACATTTCTGGGTATTGCTTGTCATATAACTGGCCCGGTCTATCTGTAACTTTATCTTCTAATTAAAGATAAGCCACAGCTAAATATCTCGTTGCAGCCAAATGCCAGATGGAAGGGCAAATATGATTTAGAGAAATTCTGCTAATCATTACTTTTCAACCTATGTTGGTTAACTTTTCACAGGATCAGGGTAGCAAAGGTTTGAAAAATGTAATTTTTCATTATTCCTCCAATAGAACATTATTTTTAAAAATACTGAATTTATAAGTATTAGTGCGGTTTCAACCACATTTAAAAGATATCACTAAGTTTTCAAGGAGCTTACATCCCTTTCTATGTTTAGCACTCATATTGGTTGCTAAACCATTGAAAAAGTTTAATATTTTATCCCTGGCATATCACCTTTGTTACACACACACACACACACACACACACACACACACACACACACACACAGTACTGATACATTGTTATAAAGCTAAGTTAAAAGTTCTGAAGCCTGGAAATTCTAGAATAAGTATCAACTACATGTTGCATTTTCTAAAATGTTTTACAAAAGCCTACAGACTTGGTGTTAGAATTCTTTAATAAAACCCTCACGTCTCATGTCCGTCTGATAAAAAAAATTAGAAAGGAAAAAAGAATGAGAAGTCTTAGATATGGCGGACATTGTTGAATTCTCTAACTCTTTTGACCTCAAAGTTTCTGGTTGATAGGGAATATAATTAAAATGTAGAATTCACAGCAATTAGTCTTTTGTGTCTGATTTTTGCATATCTCGGAATAGATATAAGTTAAAATACTCCTATTAAAATTACAATGGAGGCCGGGCACGGTGGCTCACTCCTGTAATCCCAGCATTTTGGGAGACAGAGGCGGGAGGATTACAAGGTCAGGAGATCAAGACCATCCTCCCTAACACGGTGAAACCCCGTCTCTACTGAAAATCCAAAAAAAAAAAAAAAAAAAAAAATTAGCTGGGTGTGGTGGCGGGCGCCTGTAATTCCAGCTACTCTGGAGGCTGAGGCAGGAGAATGGCGTGAACCCAGGAGGCGGAGCTTACAGTGAGCTGAGATCGCTCCATCGCACTCCAGCCTGGGCGACACAGCGAGACTCCGTCTCAAAAACAAAACAAACAAACAACAAAAAAACAAAAACAAAACCAAAACAAAAATTATGACGGAATAAATATGAAGACTTAGACATGACCAGAAAAATCTTTTTTTCTTTTCAATCTTTAAACATATTTTTTATATTTATATATTTTTTCCATAAGTTATTGGGATACCAGTGGTATTTGGTTACACGAGTAAGTTCTTTAGTGGCGATTTGTGAGATTTTGGTGCACCCATCATCCGAGCAGTATACACTGCACTATAATTGTAGTGTTTTATCCCTCATATCCTCTCCTACTCTTCCCCACAAGTCCCCAAAGTCCATTGTATCATTCTTATGCCTTTGCATCCTCATAGCTTAGCTCCTACATATCAGTGAGAATATACGATGTTTGGTTTTCCATTTCTGAGTTACTTCACTTAGAATAACAGTCTCCAATCTCAACCAGGTCACTGCAAATTATGTTAATTCATTCCTTTATATGGCTGAGTAGTAGTCCATTGTGTGTGTGTGTGTGTATATATATATATATATATATATACACTCTCATATATATGTATGTGTGTGTATATATATATATACACTCTCATATATATGTATGTGTGTGTGTGTGTATATATATATATATATATATATATATATATATATATACACTCTCATATATATGTATGTATGTATATGTATGGCACTCTCCTATATAACCAACCAGAGTATAAAAAGGTACAACCCCCTTGGAAAACTAACAGTAAATATAGCTACCCCATGACCCAGCAATTCCATTCCAATGTATCTAACCAAAGAGAAATGAGTACATGTACTCACAAATAAACTTGTACAAAACTTTTCATAGCAGTCTTATTCATAAAAGCCAAGTCATAGGGAAAGAACAAAACAAAACAAATATCCATCGACAGAATAATGAAAGGACAAACTGATGTTTTCCTACAATGGAATACAACAAAGTAATGAAGAAAAGAAATTAGTGATACATGTACAGTGAGTTGAATATTTGTGTTCCCTCCATTCGTATGTTGAAATCCTAACCACCAAGGTGATGGTACTAGGAAATGTGGCCTTTGAACGTTGTGTAATTATTACAACAAATTATTACAACATTGTGTAATAATTTGAAGGGTGGTTAGTTCATGAGGGTGAAGCCCTCATTAACAGTATTCGTACCCTTATAAAATAGGCCAGGGAGACCCCTCACCCCTTCCATCACATGAGGATACAGTGAGAAGGTGCCATCTGTGAACCAGGAGGAAGGCCCTTATCAGACACCAGATCTGCCTGGCACCTTGATCTTAGACTTCCCAATGTCCAAAACTGTGATAATTAAATTCCTATTGTTCATAATCCACTCAGTTTGTGGTATTTTGTATGACAACTTGGATGTACTAAAATAATGTACTAAAATAATATGCAACAAGTTGGATAAATAAATCTAGTTATTTGGATAAATAAATCAACTTAGCCAGTCACGAAAGTTGGTAAACTAAAGAATCCCATGAAGTTCGAAAGCAGATGAAACTAATCTGCAGTGACAGGAAACAGAACAGTTGGTGCCTGAGGATGGGGATAGCATGAGGATTGACTAGGAAGGGTCACGAGAGAATTTTGTGGGGCCCTAGAAATATTCTAGATCTTTATTGGGGTGACAGTCACATGAATATACATATTTGTCTTAATAAAACTATACACATAGAGTCATGCATTTGCTATATGTAAAATACTATGATCTAAATAAATGAGTTCATAAATTAATACATATATAGCATCAATTTTAAAATACTTGCTAATTGTCTTCTACCCTACTACTAATTATTACTATTATTACTACTTGTGTTTTTTGATATCAAATGCCAAATGTCTATCTCACAGCTGTGAGTGGGGTGGGAATGGCTTAGAGTAAAAAGAAGATAATAGCCTGTAATTATTTAGTATTATGAGTTCTGGAGGCCCACTGTGGTTGAATCTAGGCTCAGCTGCTTGCTGGCTCTGCAAATTTAAGCAAGTCTGCTTAAATTCTTCTAAACCTTTGTTCCCATTCTAAATACACAGGTAATGTACCTCTCACAGTTTTTTTCTTCTTTTTGAGAATTAAAACATTTGTAAGATAACCTATGACATGTAATAACTACATATCTACTGTTTTTATTTTAATCATATAAATTCTTGCCGATTTTTGCAGGCTATGTTGAAATGTAGTTTTAATTTGATTTTTGGCATTATTATTTTATAGTCTTGCCTACGTACTTTTTATGTGTTTGTGCTTAAGGGATTTATAGGAAATTACTTTCATATTAACTCACTTTATCTTTTGATTACTGTTTATGGATAATCACTCTGGTGACTGGTTGACTTTTCTGAACGTTATTATTACCACAGTCAACATGATTCGTATAATTTCCTAGGAAATTAAAAGCTTACTAAAGTGTAAGCTGCTTGAGAGCAGAAACTGCTATATCCATGGTTATAGCCATCTCTTATGCACATGGATCTAGCATATTGTACAAGCCTAATAAATATTGATGAAGTCAATAAATCAATATATTTGGGAAAAAAAAAAAAACTAGACCTGTATCATGCCCAAACTAATTTCAAAAGGTTGATAGTATATATATATTTCATACAATGCACTAATAATTTCTAAAATAGTAGTCTCAAGATGAACTTTGCATCCAGAAAAGGGTTTTGTACCTGGGTCAGAGATACTTTTCTTTGGATGCATAAGACTTCGTGTGATCACAGGACAGCAGCCTCGGAATGGTGTTATCATGGCTGGAGGTGGCTGGAGGGATATAAGCAGGATCTAAGAAATCTGTTCGATACAGGAAAACCTTCACTACCAGTGGCAGAAGGCCAAAAAAGGGCATTGGATCAACTTCTGGGCTCCTACAAATTTCTGTGAAATTTGTCAGATTATTTTTCCTCTAGTATTGTAATTGAATGGAGCTCAAAGTCAAAACCACTCCTTTGCTCTTTTGACACCCTTGCTTTTTTTAAAAAAAAAAAAAACTTGTTTCCCCATTTTTATGTTAATGGAATTTTATCTATTGCTTTACTTCCGCAGCAGATGACAAAATCCAGACTTCAGATACAGCCACAGATTAATCTAAAAGACTTCTGGATTAAATATCCTGTCAAAAAGCATAGTTGAAATGCTAATTCTACAGAAGTATTTGGACCAGTGAGATATAAGGAAAATAGGCTGAATTGTGAGACATGTGAACATTTTTAAAAATGTTTATTTTCACTAAATGAAAACCAGAGAGAAAAGGAAAGCTCGTGTAAAATAGTTTAAAGAAGCAAATGTTTGTGGAATTCATTTTGATACTGTAAATTGTAAAAAACAATTCTGAAATCAGATTATATCTATACCTATCTATCCAAGTGTGCATTTTAAAAGGCGGCATTGGCTGGGCGCGGTGGCTCACGCCTATAATCCCAGCACTCTGGGAAGCTGAGGCGGGTGGATCAAGAGGTCAGGAGATCGAGACCATCTTGGCTAACATGATAAAACCCCATCTCTACTAAAAATACAAAAAATTAGCCGGGCGTGGTGGTGGGCTCCTGTAGTCCCAGCTACTCGGGAGGCTGAGGCAGGAGAATGGCGTGAACTCGGGAGGCGCAGCTTGCAGTGAGCCGAGATCATGCCCCTGCACTCCAGCCTGGGCAACAGAGCAAGACTCCGTCTCAAAAAAAAAAAAAAAAAAGGAAGGCATTGCTTGCCTACCCCCAGTGATATTTAGGAATGCTTGAGGGGATGTTTATTACCTAACAAAATTGAAGAGGGAGGTACAACTGGAATTTTATATATGTAATATTTAATATATGTTATAAGTATATTTAATGTTATGTATGCTTTATATAATTCTTTGGAAATGCTAATATCCTTCTCAAGAAGCATGATACTTGAAATGTAATGTTATGCATTGCTTTGAAATGATATTAGATATGACCACAAGAAAACTGACAGACAAGCTTAAACCAAGGGTCATTCTACAAAACAATGTCTTGTAATTCTCAGTTATAACAATTTGAAGAAAGAGAAGGAAAGGTAAGGATTAATGCAGATTGAGGGAGAGTAAAGAGACATATCAACTTTGTGAAAAGTATGATCCTGGGCTGGATCCTGCATCATTGGGAAGAAGAAAGGACAGTATTGGAACAATTGGCAAAAATTAGATTCAGACTGTAGGTTAGATAGTAGTATTGTAACAGTGCCAAATTTCTTACATTTAATCATTGTATCATGATTGGGTAAAAAAATACATTTGTTCTTAAAAAATACATGCCAGAGGATTTAAAGACAGAGTCATGGTGAATACAACTTACTTGTAAGTGGTTCAATGAACAAAACATCACAGTTACATGATATTTATACCCATATTGATACTGTTAGCCACATTTACGTCTATATCTATAAAGAGAAAAAGAAAAATTGGTAAAACAAATGTGAAAAATAGTAACAATTTGCAAATCTAGGTGAAAAGTATTTGGCAATTCATTGTATTTTTACAATTTTTTCTGTACTTTTTTTTTCTAATACAGTGTTGTTTAAAAGAATGAGATTGGGAGATAGTTTTAAGTGCTACAGGCATAGCTAGGGTAATTCTGCTTATGAAACAGGACAACTGCAATGTGATATATGTCACAGGATGGTTTCAACTAAATGTTCTTTTCGAATGTACTATTAATTAGTGCAATGATATCACCGAGACCCAGGAAATTGACTCATTACCAATATTAAAAGAAAAAAAAACTTCAAAGATAAGCCTGTAATGCCATAAAATAGATTTTTAGGGCTGGGGGTGGTGGCTTACACCTGTAATCCCAACACTTAGGGAGGCAGAGGCAGGTGGATCACCTGAGGTCAGGAGTTCAAGACCAGCCTGGCAAATGTGGTGAAACCCCGTCACTACTAAAAATACAAAAATTCGCCAGGCATGGTGGCGAGTGCCTGTAATCCCAGCTATTTGGGAGGCTGAGGCAGGAGAATCGCTTGAACCTGGGAGGCAGAGGTTTCAGTGAGCCGAGATCGTGCTATTGTACTCCAGCCTGGTCAAAAAGAGTTAAACTCCATCTCAAAAAAAAAATAGGTTTTTCAAATTTAATTTTAAAATAGTAAAAGTGGTTGTATTTTACTGTGACCAAAATAACAACAGCTAGATTGAATTTTTCAATTTCAGAAATGCTGTTGAGACTCGTGTAGCCAATTCAGCCAGTCCAGATTGTTGAGTTGAGCTGAATTTAACTTAGAGTTAATCTAGCACTATTGATTTGACTAGTATAGACTCAACCAGACATTCATAGTATAGACTCAACCAGACATTCATGATTCATGTGGGTTAATGTTCAGAGTATTACCGTTATGTGGTTAAGTATGAGGAAAAAAAAGTCCTAAAACAATTTACTTTTCTTCATAATAATCTCTCTCTGATCCCCCAAGCCCTGTCCTTGGTCTCTTCTTCTCCCTCTCTCTCCTTCTCTGTCAGTACTCATGTGAGCACATGCTCTTTGTTGTCATAGACTAGTAAAAGTATATTTAAAGTAGGACTGTTGCTTCATGCTTTTTTGTTGCTTGGGGGAAAGCATATACCACTTGCAGCTTGTGTCACTTAGATGTTGTAGCCTTTGCAGCTAATGGAAAGTGGCAGTACAGGATATCTTTTTCTGTCCAGTGTCAAAAAATTGGCCTTTGTTTGGTCAACTTTCAGGAACTTCCATTTACTCCAGTGGAAAATGAAACACTTGTGAAATAAAGAAATATTGTCTTCAATGGGAAATGCATTCCATGTGCGGTATATATCATATTATGACAGATTTTATTGAGACTGTACTATTTTTATTCACAACATGAATGCAAGACTTTTTTCAGGGGTCTGCATTATAAGGCAGTGGTTATTTGCATTTGTGAGAAGAGACAAAAAATGTTTAATGTTTTTATAGTTAAATATCATTTTTAATTCAAGTTCTCAATAAAATACTTCCACCTCTTGTATATAAAGTTTGTTTCAAATAGGAAAAGTCTGTTTTTCTTAGGTGCAGTAACAAGAGTTTAAGGATGGAAGATGAGAGGACATGTCAGTGTCCATATCGTGTCATTCTTGTGAAACTTGCCAATCCATGATGGCTTTATCCTTCCACTTATCTACACTTACTGAGCAAGTGGCGTTACAAAGTCCAAGATTCTGGAGGAGCATGGATAGGGGTGCCTCAGAGTGGTCTGACATGCTTAATATTTAGAGAATTTACAAGCCATGGCGCAGAATCCTGGAGATATTTGCAGTGAGAATGGAAATTTGGTAGTTAACATGTTCCAGGAGCGGGAGAGCAGTAGGAGTTGGAATGGTTTGATTAGTTAGTTGTCATTAGCTAGAACCACAGAACTTACAAAAGGAGGAGAAAGCTGGAGACATGCAGATCTATCCTGACCATCCTGATACCCTAATGAAATGTATGAATTCAGTTCTTAGAAACCTATGTGTGCGCATGTGCCAGCTGGAGGAATCTGCAGATCTCTGAGGACTGTCTGTGGACCCTGTTTAGAGTTTCAGCAGGTGATAAAACGTTAACCAGGTTTACATAGGCCTCTGTCCTTTTAACATTCCATCCTTTCTTCCTTATGAAGCTTTAAAGTCTCCCCAGTAATTTTAAGAGTCAACCGCTAGCCCTTTGAGACTTTATTAAGTACAGTAATTCCATTGCCCTAAACATAAACTCTTTGACACATCCCCTGACAGTAATCTATTCCTTGCAGAGTTTAGGGGCCTCAGCAGCCACAGAATGTTTTCATTATAGAGCTCTGGGCTTCCTCTTGTCTGAGGCTTTAAGTAATGATGAGATCCCTTAAGTTCAACTACTTCACAAAAACTGCATTGCAATCCTAGGCCCAGTTTGCTTCAGAGGAGTACAGAGCCCTAAGCTGATGATCAGGCTCTATCTAAGAAATCTTGGATTTAATATCTGCCTTTATCCTTTTCAATCTCCCCACTGCAACTAAAAGATCTTCAACCTGTTTTCTTAATTGTTTCGGAATAAGTCTAGGAAGTTGAGCTTTATTACCCAGAGGGAGCCTAGCATTTATTTATTGTATTCGACTGTTATGTAAACTAAATGACTATTGTTACAGCTTCCGTGTGTATTTCAAAGAGCATTGTCATTTATTTTTCTGTGCTTTAACAATTCTGTATAGCTCAGAGGTTCACCACGTAAAGGGAAACCCAGGACCAGTGGCAGCAGAGATACACCCTGGAAGCTTGTCAGAAATGCCAGAATCTCAGGTCCTGCACCAGACTTGCAGAATCAGGACCTGCCCTTCACCAAAACCCACAGAGATTTTAATGTATTCGAAGGTTTGGGAAACTCTGGGGAGACAACAGCATTTAGTTGATGCTTCCGAATTACTTTGCCTACGAAGTAGGAATCTGATTAACATATTTTCTACCACCCAACCAGAGTGCTTAGCATAAAAATTATTCTGATAACTAAATTGTTTTTCTGCTAAGTTAAACTTCATTTGGGAAACTGTCTTGTATTTTTATTTCAAACTGCTAAAATGTCAAAAAAAAAAAAAAAAACAAACTACTATCCACTAGCCATTCATTCTTTAAGAAATTAGGATCCTATAATCCAGACTTATAAGAAAAGTTCTCAGCACCTAGGATAGTGACAGGTCCTGCCCTATATTAGATGCCTTCGTGAGGTGAGTCTTGCTTGTCGTCTTTTCCCCATAAAAGCAGGTGGTCCAACGTGGTCATCAGTCTCATCTACAGCAATGACACACACTAGGCCCACACTCAGGCCTGTTTCGCTGTAAATTTCCTCCTTGTTCCACTATTCCGCATAGGATAAAATTCAGAAACGTAGGAAGACTTCAATTCCAAGCCATTGTCTAGCTCAGGAGTTTTCAACCTCGGCACGACTGATTTCGAGACTGAATACTTCTTTGCTATGGGAGGCTGTCCTGTGCATTGCAGGATGTTTACCACATCCCTGGCCTCTCCCCACTAGATGGCACACAACCATTCCCTCATCACCACTCTACTTCATCCACCCTCCCCCGCCGTTGGGACCACACAGAAGTCTCCAGACACTGTGAAATATCCCCTGCGGGAGAATCTCCTGTAACTGAGAACTGATCTACAAATATGTGAATATGTGCAGTTTTATTTATTCCTAGCTTTAATATGATTTTCTCTATCACCTAACTCTTCCTCATAAGACTGCTCCACTCTATTAAATAGAGGTTCCAGGGACGAAAGCTTTAAGCCTTCCACAGTTGACACCAGTTTGTTTGCTCCACTTTCTTAGAGTTCCATACTTTCACAGAGACAAAAGGGCATTCAGCGTCTGCTTAATTATCTTAACAGGTGTGTTCACAAGTTATGAGTCTTGTTCTTCTTCAGTGGTTGCATTAGAAGCATTGCCTGTGGGAAGGTAAAGAGATACCTATATTATGGAAAAAGTTTTGGTTTAGAAATTAAATGTGCAGACTTTGAAGCCACATTTCCCTCCACCACATCCTAGCTGAGTGGTCTTGGGTAAGTTACCTCCTGTTTGTTTTCTCTGTGAAACAGAGTCCAAGCAGATAGTGTTATTTTAACAATTAAATGATATATCCCATCAATACTTAGAATCATGTCTAACGCAGGGAAGATCAATAATCATTTATTATTATTATCCCTTCAACAATTATGTATAACTTAGGATCTTGTCTGGGACAGAAGGCGATCCAAGATTTCTTGCATAAATACATACTCCATGGTCATGACTTTTATTCCGATCAAAGTTGTAGGCTATGTTTTGCATATTTAAATTGCATCATTTTAACATTGGAATATTACCATGGAATTTTCTGTCCTGGAGTTGGAAATATACTTAAACATGTGAGTTGATTGTTAGAATCCACTACCCTTTATTCAATTCATAAAACATTCAGAATTGAGTGAAACTAATCAACGTGTGAGAGATTTACCTTTGAAGCTTTGGTTGTGGGGAGTGGAGTAGTAAATTGAAGGGATTCCAAAGAGGCTTCTTGGGATATTCCTGTTGCTTTTTTTTTTTTTTTTTAACCTGGGAACAGGATACATGGAAGTGTTCAGTTTGTGAAAATCAATTGAGCTGTTCACTTTTCTTTATCTATTTATAGTTCCATAAAATTTCAAATATACATACAGATCAATTAGAGAAAAATAAAAACCTTGTTCTACACCTAACCATATTGTTTAGAGAACAGTTGAGAGTACCAGAAATAATACATTCTTTGGTATTTTGTTGAATTATGGCTCTTGTATTATTCAGATGGTTTTCTAGAGAAGTCTGACTTCATAAACTCTGTCTGCATTTGTGTTGTAAATACGGGATGGGCTGTGAAACGAAATTATTATATGGTTGTTTATATTAACCTAGCCAAACACAAACCTGAATTTTTTTAACCCAGACATAATATTGAGAAGTACTACTTGGATGACTTAAACTATATTTTTAGCTACTCGTGCTATTGTTAATGTGAAAAATATAAAACTAAATTATAGGTCCCCCTATTTTCATTATGGGACAATTTTACAGCTGTCAAAAAGTTGTATTTCACACTTCCCACATTCACAAGGCTACATTCGTACAACAGTTTATAAGTTTTTTTTTTTTTTTGGCTTTTTCCTCAGTAGCTGAAAAGTTGATATAGTAATGATTTTGTTGCAAGGTTGTCAAAGTAAATAGGCCACACCAAGCATAGACAAGGAATCTTAAATCTCAGAAAAAGACGAAATTTAGTTTATAACCAAGAATGGTAAATAGAGGAGTTGTGGATGGAATTTCCATATTATGCCCAAACCTCTTGAAAGTCAAATGTTTCAACTTTTCATCCCATTTTTTTTGCTCTGGAACTGCTACAGAGGAGTCCATTTGACTGACAGGGGTTCCATGCTTTTTTGTGTCTTCTGCCCTGTCTTATATGGAAGTGCCAATAAGCAGAGAACCAATGGTAAGATCCAAGGTCACACAGCAGGCTGAGGAATAGATGAGGCCGTTGCAAACCTGGTTAAACTTTCAATAAGACCAGCAGCTCACATAGTTTAGAGAAGATTGATTGTGAAAACTTAGTAGAACATGACAAAATTTTTTTTTTTTTTTTTTTTTTTTTTTAGAGTCTTTTTTTTTTTTTTTTTTTTATTATACTCTAAGTTTTAGGGTACATGTGCACATTGTGCAGGCTAGTTACATATGTATACATGTGCCATGCTGGTGCGCTGCACCCACTAATGTGTCATCTAGCATTAGGTATATCTCCCAATGCTATCCCTCCCCCCTCCCCCGACCCCACCACAGTCCCCAGAGTGTGATATTCCCCTTCCTGTGTCCATGTGATCTCATTGTTCAATTCCCACCTATGAGTGAGAATATGCGGTGTTTGGTTTTTTGTTCTTGCGATAGTTTACTGAGAATGATGGTTTCCAATTTCATCCATGTCCCTACAAAGGATATGAACTCATCATTTTTTATGGCTGCATAGTATTCCATGGTGTATATGTGCCACATTTTCTTAATCCAGTCTATCATTGTTGGACAGTTGGGTTGGTTCCAAGTCTTTGCTATTGTGAATAGTGCCGCAATAAACATACGTGTGCATGTGTCTTTATAGCAGCATGATTTATAGTCCTTTGGGTATATACCCAGTAATGGGATGGCTGGGTCAAATGGTATTTCTAGTTCTAGATCCCTGAGGAATCGCCACACTGACTTCCACAATGGTTGAACTAGTTTACAGTCCCACCAACAGTGTACAAGTGTTCCTATTTCTCCGCATCCTCTCCAGCACCTGTTGTTTCCTGACTTTTTAATGATTGCCATTCTAACTGGTGTGAGATGATATCTCATAGTGGTTTTGATTTGCATTTCTCTGATGGCCAGTGATGATGAGCATTTCTTCATGTGTTTTTTGGCTGCATAAATGTCTTCTTTTGAGAAGTGTCTGTTCATGTCCTTCGCCCACTTTTTGATGGGGTTGTTTGTTTTTTTCTTGTAAATTTGTTTGAGTTCATTGTAGATTCTGGATATTAGCCCTTTGTCAGATGAGTAGGTTGCGAAAATTTTCTCCCATGTTGTAGGTTGCCTGTTCACTCTGATGGTAGTTTCTTTTGCTGTGCAGAAGCTCTTTAGTTTAATTAGATCCCATTTGTCAATTTTGTCTTTTGTTGCCATTGCTTTTGGTGTTTTGGACATGAAGTCCTTGCCCACGCCTATGTCCTGAATGGTAATGCCTAGGTTTTCTTCTAGGGTTTTTATGGTTTTAGGTTTAACGTTTAAATCTTTAATCCATCTTGAATTGATTTTTGTATAAGGTGTAAGGAAGGGATCGAGTTTCAGCTTTCTACATATGGCTAGCCAGTTTTCCCAGCACCATTTATTCAATAGGGAATCCTTTCCCCATTGCTTGTTTTTCTCAGGTTTGTCAAAGATCAGATAGTTGTAGATATGTGGCATTATTTCTGAGGGCTCTGTTCTGTTCCATTGATCTATATCTCTGTTTTGGTACCAGTACCATGCTGTTTTGGTTACTGTAGCCTTGTAGTATAGTTTGAAGTCAGGTAGTGTGATGCCTCCAGCTTTGTTCTTTTGGCTTAGGATTGACTTGGCAATGCGGGCTCTTTTTTGGTTCCATATGAACTTTAAAGTAGTTTTTTCCAATTCTGTGAAGAAAGTCATTGGTAGCTTGATGGGGATGGCATTGAATCTGTAAATTACCTTGGGCAGTATGGCCATTTTCACGATATTGATTCTTCCTACCCATGAGCATGGAATGTTCTTCCATTTGTTTGTGTCCTCTTTTATTTCCTTGAGCAGTGGTTTGTAGTTCTCCTTGAAGAGGTCCTTCACATCCCTTGTAAGTTGGATTCCTAGGTATTTTATTCTCTTTGAAGCAATTGTGAATGGGAGTTCACCCATGATTTGGCTCTCTGTTTGTCTGTTGTTGTTGTATAAGAATGCTTGTGATTTTTGTACATTGATTTTGTATCCTGAGACTTTGCTGAAGTTGCTTATCAGCTTAAGGAGATTTTGGGCTGAGACGATGGGGTTTTCTAGATAAACAATCATGTCGTCTGCAAACAGGGACAATTTGACTTCCTCTTTTCCTAATTGAATACCCTTTATTTCCTTCTCCTGCCTGATTGCCCTGGCCAGAACTTCCAACACTATGTTGAATAGGAGTGGTGAGAGAGGGCATCCCTGTCTTGTGCCAGTTTTCAAAGGGAATGCTTCCAGTTTTTGCCCATTCAGTATGATATTGGCTGTGGGTTTGTCATAGATAGCTCTTATTATTTTGAGATACATCCCATCAATACCTAATTTATTGAGAGTTTTTAGCATGAAGGGTTGTTGAATTTTGTCAAAGGCTTTTTCTGCATCTATTGAGATAATCACGTGGTTTTTGTCTTTGGCTCTGTTTATATGCTGGATTACATTTATTGATTTGCGTATATTGAACCAGCCTTGCATCCCAGGGATGAAGCCCACTTGATCATGGTGGATAAGCTTTTTGATGTGCTGCTGGATTCGGTTTGCCAGTATTTTATTGAGGATTTTTGCATCAATGTTCATCAAGGATATTGGTCTAAAATTCTCTTTTTTGGTTGTGTCTCTGCCCGGCTTTGGTATCAGAATGATGCTGGCCTCATAAAATGAGTTAGGGAGGATTCCCTCTTTTTCTATTGATTGGAATAGTTTCAGAAGGAATGGTACCAGTTCCTCCTTGTACCTCTGGTAGAATTCGGCTGTGAATCCATCTGGTCCTGGACTCTTTTTGGTTGGTAAACTATTGATTATTGCCACAATTTCAGAGCCTGTTATTGGTCTATTCAGAGATTCAACTTCTTCCTGGTTTAGTCTTGGGAGAGTGTATGTGTCGAGGAATGTATCCATTTCTTCTAGATTTTCTAGTTTATTTGCGTAGAGGTGTTTGTAGTATTCTCTGATGGTAGTTTGTATTTCTGTGGGATCGGTGGTGATATCCCCTTTATCATTTTTTATTGTGTCTATTTGATTCTTCTCTCTTTTTTTCTTTATTAGTCTTGCTAGCGGTCTATCAATTTTGTTGATCCTTTCAAAAAACCAGCTCCTAGATTCATTGATTTTTTGAAGGGTTTTTTGTGTCTCTATTTCCTTCAGTTCTGCTCTGATTTTAGTTATTTCTTGCCTTCTGCTAGCTTTTGAATGTGTTTGCTCTTGCTTTTCTAGTTCTTTTAATTGTGATGTTAGGGTGTCAATTTTGGATCTTTCCTGCTTTCTCTTGTAGGCATTTAGTGCTATAAATTTCCCTCTACACACTGCTTTGAATGCGTCCCAGAGATTCTGGTATGTTGTGTCTTTGTTCTCGTTGGTTTCAAAGAACATCTTTATTTCTGCCTTCATTTCGTTATGTACCCAGTAGTCATTCAGGAGCAGGTTGTTCAGTTTCCATGTAGTTGAGCGGCTTTGAGTGAGATTCTTAATCCTGAGTTCTAGTTTGATTGCACTGTGGTCTGAGAGATAGTTTGTTATAATTTCTGTTCTTTTACATTTGCTGAGGAGAGCTTTACTTCCAACTATGTGGTCAATTTTGGAATAGGTGTGGTGTGGTGCTGAAAAAAATGTATATTCTGTTGATTTGGGGTGGAGAGTTCTGTAGATGTCTATTAGGTCTGTTTGGTGCAGAGCTGAGTTCAATTCCTGGGTATCCTTGTTGACTTTCTGTCTCGTTGATCTGTCTAATATTGACAGTGGGGTGTTAAAGTCTCCCATTATTAATGTGTGGGAGTCTAAGTCTCTTTGTAGGTCACTCAGGACTTGCTTTATGAATCTGGGTGCTCCTGTATTGGGTGCATAAATATTTAGGATAGTTAGCTCCTCTTGTTGAATTGATCCCTTTACCATTATGTAATGGCCTTCTTTGTCTCTTTTGATCTTTGTTGGTTTAAAGTCTGTTTTATCAGAGACTAGGATTGCAACCCCTGCCTTTTTTTGTTTTCCATTTGCTTGGTAGATCTTCCTCCATCCTTTTATTTTGAGCCTATGTGTGTCTCTGCACGTGAGATGGGTTTCCTGAATACAGCACACTGATGGGTCTTGACTCTTTATCCAACTTGCCAGTCTGTGTCTTTTAATTGGAGAATTTAGTCCATTTACATTTAAAGTTAATATTGTTATGTGTGAATTTGATCCTGTCATTATGATGTTAGCTGGTGATTTTGCTCGTTAGTTGATGCAGTTTCTTCCTAGTCTCGATGGTCTTTACATTTTGGCATGATTTTGCAGCGGCTGGTACCGGTTGTTCCTTTCCATGTTTAGCGCTTCCTTCAGGAGCTCTTTTAGGGCAGGCCTGGTGGTGACAAAATCTCTCAGCATTTGCCTGTCTGTAAAGGATTTTATTTCTCCTTCACTTATGAAGCTTAGTTTGGCTGGATATGAAATTCTGGGTTGAAAATTCTTTTCTTTAAGAATGTTGAATATTGGCCCCCACTCTCTTCTGGCTTGTAGGGTTTCTGCCGAGAGATCCGCTGTTAGTCTGATGGGCTTCCCTTTGAGGGTAACCCGACCTTTCTCTCTGGCTGCCCTTAACATTTTTTCCTTCATTTCAACTTTGGTGAATCTGACAATTATGTGTCTTGGAGTTGCTCTTCTCGAGGAGTATCTTTGTGGCGTTCTCTGTATTTCCTGAATCTGAACGTTGGCCTGCCTTGCTAGATTGGGGAAGTTCTCCTGGATAATATCCTGCAGAGTGTTTTCCAACTTGGTTCCATTCTCCACATCACTTTCAGGTACACCAATCAGACGTAGATTTGGCCTTTTCACATAGTCCCATATTTCTTGGAGGCTTTGCTCATTTCTTTTTATTCTTTTTTCTCTAAACTTCCCTTCTCGCTTCATTTCATTCATTTCATCTTCCATTGCTGATACCCTTTCTTCCAGTTGATCGCATCGGCTCCTGAGGCTTCTGCATTCTTCACGTAGTTCTCGAGCCTTGGTTTTCAGCTCCATCAGCTCCTTTAAGCACTTCTCTGTATTGGTTATTCTAGTTATACATTCTTCTAAATTTTTTTCAAAGTTTTCAACTTCTTTGCCTTTGGTTTGAATGTCCTCCCGTAGCTCAGAGTAATTTGATCGTCTGAAGCCTTCTTCTCTCAGCTCGTCAAAATCATTCTCCATCCAGCTTTGTTCTGTTGCTGGTGAGGAACTGCGTTCCTTTGGAGGAGGAGAGGCGCTCTGCGTTTTAGAGTTTCCAGTTTTTCTGTTCTGTTTTTTCCCCATCTTTGTGGTTTTATCTACTTTTGGTCTTTGATGATGGTGATGTACAGATGGGTTTTTGGTGTGGATGTCCTTTCTGGTTGTTAGTTTTCCTTCTAACAGACAGGACCCTCAGCTGCAGGTCTGTTGGAATACCCTGCCGTGTGACCCTGCTGGGGGGTGCCTCCCAGTTAGGCTGCTCGGGGGTCAGGGGTCAGGGACCCACTTGAGGAGGCAGTCTGCCCGTTCTCAGATCTCCAGCTGCGTGCTGGGAGAACCACTGCTCTCTTCAAAGCTGTCAGACAGGGACACTTAAGTCTGCAGAGGTTACTGCTGCCTTTTTGTTTGTCTGTGCCCTGCCCCCAGAGGTGGAGCCTACAGAGGCAGGCAGGCCTCCTTGAGCTGTGGTGGGCTCCACCCAGTTCGAGCTTCCCGGCTGCTTTGTTTACCTAAGCAAGCCTGGGCAATGGCGGGCGCCCCTCCCCCAGCCTCGTTGCCGCCTTGCAGTTTGATCTCAGACTGCTGTGCTAGCAATCAGCGAGATTCCGTGGGCATAGGACCCTCTGAGCCAGGTGTGGGATATAGTCTCGTGGTGCGCCGTTTTTTAAGCCGGTCTGAAAAGCGCAATATTCGGGTGGGAGTGACCCGATTTTCCAGGTGCGTCCGTCACCCCTTTCTTTGACTCGGAAAGGGAACTCCCTGACCCCTTGCGCTTCCCAAGTGAGGCAATGCCTCGCCCTGCTTCGGCTCGCGCACAGTGCGCACACACACTGGCCTGCGCCCACTGTCTGGCACTCCCTAGTGAGATGAACCCGGTACCTCAGATGGAAATGCAGAAATCACCCGTCTTCTGCGTCGCTCACGCTGGGAGCTGTAGACCGGAGCTGTTCCTATTCGGCCATCTTGGCTCCTCCTCGACAAAATTTTTAAATGAATAAAATTCTCTAGTATAATATTAAAAATGTAATATCATTCACAGTTCAAACAAAACCACATCTCCATAGCGTAGAAACCATGAGAAAGTTTCTAACAGTAATACTGAAATATCCTTGCTTTTTTTAAAATTGTACTTGCATTTAACAACAGAAGGTTTTAGGATGTACTTCTTATAAACTATCTTTGTGTATGAGCACCATCAATTAATTTTACCCATAGGAAGAAATAATCATCATAAATTTCCAAGCTGACACAGGCTGAGGCTCAGATCAGGTGAGGTGTCGTCATGAATGTCCTTCCTCTTCTCCTTCTAAATATAAGCCATGTTTGTTTCCCACAAAGAACATGGTGGCTTGGCAAGAAGGATTCCCATTGGTCTAATAAAACAAAAACTAACTTATATTTAATTTCTATGCCTTTTTCACACTCTGAGAGTGCTAGGCCAGGCCTCTTCAAGCCCTTTTCACAAAGGAAAGCAGAGTGGTTAGTAAAAAGAAAAAATAAATAAATAAAAACTATACCTGCTTTGCCTTGGGTTCAAAGACTAAGTACAGGCTTCATCTCTGGGGTGGAGGGTGGAATTCTCATGACAGCACTGGGTATGTCCTTTGTTTTCTCTGTTCACTCGCAGTCCTTTTAATGTTCTCGTTAAATGTTATTAACAAGCTTTTACAAAGCACAACTACGAAATTCCAGGGAGAGTCAAGTGGCAGAGTGAACAGCAAGTGGAATGTAAGACAACCAAAGTAACTAAATTTGGACATCCTCAGCTCAATGAAATTGCCAATGGCAAATAAGAATTGGGGGTAGGAAGATTTGTTTTTGAGTGTGACATAAAGACTGTAAAAAGATTAGGACCACCAATTGCCACACATTTATCTATACCATAATAATTCTCACACCAGAGTGAGGTGTATATGTGTTAGAAATAGGGGATACACATATGTCCATAGAACTAAAGGTAGCAACTCTAAGAAAAAGCATCAAAACAAGCAAATGAATAAAAACAGTCATGTAAGACAAGGGGTTAGCAATAGGCATCATAGATAACTAAACCCAATGACAAATTATTCACTGGTGGAATTATGCTAATTTTGTTGTTTTCTAGATAACTCCATGTGGCATTACAGGAATATTTTCTTCTAGATCCCTTGGTTCTATCAGTTCTTCCACCTAAGTCTAGAGCTTCCTAATCTCTGAAAGGGACATTGTCCCTCTCTATCAAATAGCAGCTTCATGCACATTTGCAGTTTATTTTCTGAAAGTAAGGGTCAGTATGAATCAAGCAATGCAGACCTGAGACTCACTTTCCTACCTAAGTGAAGCTGATTACTCAGTGACCTGTTCACAACTTTTGGGCAACTTAGAGTTCTGGAGTCAATCAGTCCCTGGAGCTATCTCCATGGAGCTGAATAACCGCTGTCTCGGCCTGCCAAAAGGTTTTTCAGCTCAGTGCTATTCTTGAATGACACTCTGTCATTATGCTATATTTAGGTCATGAAAGTTGTAATTAGCTTTGTTCTGCTGCACACTGATCCAGCCTCACATGCAATATAAAAGGTAATAAAATAAGTAGGAAGATATAAAAACCTAAATAAGCCTCCTATGCAGGAAATTTCATCATTACAAAACTGATGAAAGATCCAAAGAAAGGGAGACTCTATGGCTTCAAAACCTGGCAAAGAAGTCTGTTAGCAGAAGCAATCAAAGAAGCTAGGCTTGTGTATGGCCAACTTGCAACAGAATTTTTAATTAACCCCCTCATTACAGCCCCACCCTGTCCCCTGCTCTTCCCCACCGAGGTGACTGTTCTGTAATTTGATTACATTTGGTGGAAGCTCCTTTTCTCATAGGACATCTCACATCCCTTTTAGGAGCCAGCTCTGCCTAATAAACGGACTTTTAGAATTATACTATTTAGTATCCGTACATTATCCCTTATGGTTATTGCCTGGACCTGAGCCATCTGTTTTCAATGACACACAGTATTCTGTGTTTGCAGGAATGGGTGCTGCTTATGAGAGAGGAGCTGGAAGGAGGGCAAAAGAACATGAAATCCACAGTCAGTACCAAAATAACCACAACTAGCTGATATGGCCGCTTTCATTCTCCAACCTGGTTATAATCTCCTTGAAGGTGACAACTATTGTCTCTCACAAGTTTTAAACATGAGCCTAGTGTAGGTTATTAATAAATGCTTATTGAGTCATCGAGGGGATGCACTTAGGAAAAACAACATGCTTTCCCAAGACCCAAGTTAAACATTTTTCATCTAATCTTTATTTAACTATTGACAATAATTTTCCTTTTTGATGTAATGTATGACTTCAGGGAGCCCTTGATATTTCCCAGTTTTATTCAATGAATAAAAATTCAAAGAAAAAGAACAAATGGAGAAACATAGGAATTATTTTCAAAAAGAAAATTATATATTTTATTTTATTTTATTTTTTTATTTTTTTATTTTTTATTATACTTTAAGTTTTAGGGTACATGTGCACATTGTGCAGGTTAGTTACATATGTATACATGTGCCATGCTGGTGCGCTGCACCCACTAACTCGTCATCTAGCATTAGGTATATCTCCCAATGCTATCCCTCCCCCCTCCCCCCACCCCACCACAGTCCCCAGAGTGTGATATTCCCCTTCCTGTGTCCATGTGATCTCATTGTTCAATTCCCACCTATGAGTGAGAATATGCGGTGTTTGGTTTTTTGTTCTTGCGATAGTTTACTGAGAATGATGATTTCCAATTTCATCCATGTCCCTACAAAGGACATGAACTCATCATTTTTTATGGCTGCATAGTATTCCATGGTGTATATGTGCCACATTTTCTTAATCCAGTCTATCATTGTTGGACATTTGGGTTGGTTCCAAGTCTTTGCTATTGTGAATAATGCCGCAATAAACATACGTGTGCATGTGTCTTTATAGCAGCATGATTTATAGTCATTTGGGTATATACCCAGTAATGGGATGGCTGGGTCAAATGGTATTTCTAGTTCTAGATCCCTGAGGAGTCGCCACACTGACTTCCACAATGGTTGAACTAGTTTACAGTCCCACTAACAGTGTAAAAGGGTTCCTATTTCTCCACATCCTCTCCAGCACCTGTTGAAAAAGAAAATTATATATTTTATATATCCAGAATTAGAAAGAGAGAAGAGAAAACAAAAAGTGGTTCAAAGTCAAGTAGAGAAAGTCTATTGATGAGTTGGAATATGATAGAATATGAACTTGAGGGAGTAAATGTGGTGCTTGTTATGTTGTCTCCAGGGGTGGGCTAAGAGTGTTATTTCTTTTATTCTGTGGGTTATGGGAGATAAGGTGGAAGGTGAAGGGTCCCTCATCTAACTTAAAGAAGAGTCCAAAGAATAAAAAGGGCAAATGGTATCATGCAGATAAGAGGATGGAATTTAGATACCAGGTAGATACAGAAATGTTCTCTCTGTTCTTTTCCAGCACTGGGTTTGAATGTGGTAACATGAACTAGATGCAAGGGAGCATGTAAAACAATAATTCAAGCAATACCTTATATTCTCACTCTGTTGCCTAAGTTAGAATGCAGTGGGAAGATCTCAGCTCACTGCAACCTCCACTCCCAGGTGCAAGCAATCCTCCTGCCTCAGCCTTCTGACTAGCTGCAATTACAGGCGCATGCCACCATGCCCAGCTAATTTTTTGTATTTTTAGTAGAGATGTGAGTTCGCCATCTTGGCCAGGCTGTTCTTGAACTCCTGACCTCAAGTGATCCGCTGACCTCGGCCTCCCAAAGTGCTGGGATTATAGGTGTAAACCATTGCACCTGGCCGTGATAACTTTTAACAATTTATCTAAATATTTTTGCATTGATCTTCATATTCAATCTGCACAGCTCTTCGAAGTTCATTTTACAGCTGAGTGAACTGAGAAAAGTCAAGCAGCTTGATTGACCAAGTTCTCAGCTGGTTAAAAGCAGAGGCCAGGAGCAGTGGCTCATACCTGCAATCCCAGAAATTTGGGAGGCTGAGAAAAGACACTTGCTTGAGCTCAGGAGTTCAAGACCAGCCTGGGCAACACAACAAGACCCAGTCTCTATGAAAAAAAAAAAAAAATTAGTCCGGTCCAGCAGGTGGGGTTGAAGTGGGAGGATCTCTTTACCTCAGGAGTTCAAGGATGCAGTGAACTAGGATTGCTATGGGCTGCGCTCCAACTTGGATGACACAGCAAGACCCTGTCTCAAAAACAAAACAAAACAAAACAAAAGCCAAGATTCAAGATTCAAACCTAGATCTGTCTCTCAGTGTAATGCTCATTTAAGTCCTTTACTCCATGGCCTGAAAAGAGCTTCAACAGCCTTGAAGGGAAATTAGACATCAAGAAGGTTTACAATTTCCAATAAGATTCATAAAGAAAATAGTTGTCATCCAAGGCTGCAATTTTATCTGCATTTTTATGACTACAGTGTCCCAAATCCCAATGCTATCAATATTCCATTTCTAGTCAGTTTCCATTTCTTCATCAGTGTCAAGAGGCAAAAATACTGATTCCCCTTTTGCCACTGATTAGAAAGCATGGTGTTCAGGGCTGACAAAGTAATGATAAAAAGAACTCAAGGACCTTGAGTGATTAAGGGTGAAGTTAAGACATCGGATGTTGTCTTCTCATTTTTCTGATGACCAGTAACAATTATGCTGTTGTTTGTAAGAGAGGATGTAGAAAGTTCCGTTGTGAATTTCTTCATGCTTAGTGAGTGGGCTTACGTTGTTATAATAAATACGTGTTTTTAGGTGGGGGGAGATTTCAGATTGTATTTTTTTCTCAACATTGCATTTTTTACATTTTAGACATTGAATTATGATTCAGCTTATAAGGAGAAGAGAATTAAAAAATAGGGTATGTGAAAGGTTTAATAACACTTCTTTTATCCAGTTTAGTCTTGAATTTTAAGTTTATGAACTTTTAAATCAATATGCAATTGTTTTAAATGTAAAAATGTATTTTAGGCCATAGCATTAAATGAAAAGTTCAGCTATAAATGTTATTCATAACAAATGACATTTTTTCATCACTGTGGACTTCATTTGAAGGATTTGACATTTTACAGTAGTTGACAGAAAATGGAAAAAACACAAGCTTTTTTTTTTTTCTCTCTCTCTCTCTCTCTGCTTTAATAATTCTATCCTGGCCCGACATAGGTACTTTTGCCCCCTCAAAATTTTCAAAATTGTTTTTGCTGTTGTGATAAGACCAAAGTTATTGAGTTTGAGACTGGAAGGAATTTTCTTTAGGAAAATGTGGGAGGTGTGATTGGAAGGAAAATGGGTTTGAGGAGAGCGGGAGCACTTGCAGTGCTGTTTCCTGGACAAGGTGTCCACCCAACTCACTTTATACCAATCTCAATAAGAAAAAGACAATCCAGCCACACTGTGTCACCCCAAATCAGATTTCAACTTTGCACATTTTTTTCTTAAAAGGGTTAAAAAAGTTGTTTTTAGGAGGACACACTCATGCACATAAAACTACTGAACACTTTCTGCTAAAATCTAAAAAAAAAAACTTTTAAAATGGGAGAGGTGCATATTAAAATGTGAGAGGAAAGTCTCATTATCAGGCCTCTAACAAATAAAATGAGCCTTGAGATTAAATATTGTTATAATCATTATGAACATTAGCTTTCCTTTTCTCTCCACCCCTTTTTTGTGTGTCACACAAATTCTCACAGGTGGTTCTAATTAGACATAAATAGTGACAGTGGCCAGTTTGACAAATCCAGATTCCGGCCAAGAGTAATGGAAAAAAGTCTCAGCTTGCCTTCTTAAAAAACGGAATCTATATTGAGACAGTTCAAGGAAATGATGCCTCTGGTGAGATGTAAAAACCATAGCTCAAGCCCCTTTGTGCATTCTCCCTTTAGGGAGTCAAAGCAGCATAAAACACCTAACGGCATGTTCCTCCCTGCCCATATTAAATTCCAGGTTTCTCAAAGAAAGCTTGTATTCGTCTACCTAAGACAAACTTTGACCACCTTGGCATCTGATAGGAAGAAAACCCAAAAACCAAAAAACAAAAGAAAGCAAGCCATGTATGCTATCTCTATTGTCTTGTAATTTTAATCCTTTTATATGGAATAGTTGAATGGGTATTTGATAATTCTGTCAAGTCACTTCCTAAATACTTCACTGTTTTTATAAAAACTTTTATCACCTTTAGTTTAGTAGGGCAATACAGAAAAAGGATAAGTCTTTTTAAAGAAACTTTCCAAAAATCAATAGGTTAGTAAAACGTGGATTGTTCAGCATGCATGTTCCAGGATAACAGCCTTTCTTCCTAGTCATGTTCTCTTTCTTGTTATTTCACACCAGTGTCCTATGAAGCCAACACACTCATCCTTGGATAAGAAATGTCTATAAAAATTTATACAGGTATTTAATGGACATGCTGAGTAATTTTTAGATCTCCTTAAGCAGCGCCGTTGCATATAATTGGGTCACTGCCCTAGGACACTCAGCCAGTGGGATCAGTGAAGGTTAAAATCCAGCCCATGTGTCTTTCACAAAGCCTTATCCCCTTCCTAGCAAGGGACTGCATCTGCCTGGAAGAAGTGACAAGTTTTCTAATTTGCAGAGACTGGGTTTTCTGCATCCTATAAGTCGTTTTTGCAAACCTAACCAAAAAGGGAAAAAAAAGGATTATTTACTAATGTAATAATTTACTTATTTTTGCCTTCTCTTTAAATATCTGAACATATGAAGAACCTTAACACTTAAATTTTTTTCCAGAAATATGATAAGGCACAATATATCAGCCACTGTTATTTGACTTTCTGGTTTCTTAAGCATATACACTCAAGCTCATTGAGACATGATATCCTTGGCTGACCAATTCAATGCATATTGACATTGATAGATAGCTTAAAAATTGGGGGAGAGGACAGAAATAAATATCCAGGGAAGACCATATGTACCTCCTTCCATATATTTCATAAATATGCTGTTAACTAAATTTTTAGAGTGGCTGGCAATGGTCCATTTCCACTTTTGTATACCTGTTTCTAAGACGCATGGTAAAATATCAAAAGTCTAAGCAAATAGTCTTTACAACTCTACCCTTTATGAAACCTGTCTTCAGTTCTTACATTTAGTATATTATTACCACAATTATTATTACCATTATTTTATCTCTCATCCAAACCTGTTCTTGAATTCAGAGTACTTACAACAATGCCTGGATATTATCTTGAAAGATATATTTCTCCTGAGTCAACAAGTTTAAAAGTATGAAGAAGAGCAAATCAAAACAAATAGAGCGAACAGTTTATAAACAGCATATACTTGTGAATTTTATTTTTTAGAAGTTCAACTAGATCTCCAGTGACTATCCCTTGAAGTTATTTTCAGCACTTGTTTTTTGCAGATGTAAAATATTTTTTCATATCAATGCAAAAATGACTTCTTTTTATTGATGGTTAGATTTCTAATGAGGCTGATCTACAGCAAAAGACCTGGATTGTCAGTCCTAGCCTTTTAACTAATAGTGACAAAATAGATATTCTTGTTCTATTGCATTGGGGAATTCCTTTGATCTTAGTAGGGATCCAGGGATAATAAGAGGTGTTCTAGAGAAAAATATCAGTCCCAGCAAGTTAAAAATATTATCCATTTTGCTCACATCATCACCAATCCAAGGAATAACTAGAGCCCTGGAGGAGTTATAGAAGATTCTAGCAGCTTATCTACCAAAGCTTTTCCTCTTCAGGGGTGGTGGTGTTTTATATATAGAACAAATTATCCTGGGATATTGGCAGGCTTTAAATAATATTTTAGGTGAGGCTCGAGATTGGATGCTTCCAGAAAAGAATCATTCTGAGCAAACTTGGTTCTTAGCTCCAATCTACCTCATGAGGCTGTGAGAGGTCTGTAATGCACTCCAGAAGAAATTTTAGACGCTGATTGTTCCATCCCACTTGTTTCACCCAGACCCACCCTTCACAAATGAGAGAAAGTTTCAAGCAGCTGATTTTAGAATAAGAAATTTCAACTAGGGGTCTCGGGGAGAGATGTTTTATCCATTCATAATTAAGGCACTTGGGCCATATGTTTTTCTTTCCACTTTGTCACCTCCTCTCTCTTTCTGTGTGGTTTTCTCTGATTGTTACTTTCTTTGTTGTTGTTGTTGCTGTCTTCTGTCTCTAGTTAGTGGCAGCAGCTAGAAAAGCTCCCCACCCATGTGGGAGCCTTTTTCTCCACCGAGAGCTTTGGATAAAGGTCCACCTTGCTCTTCCAACTTGCAGGATACCTGCTGGTCTAACAAGATAGACTGTTCCTACTCAAACACCCCAATTGCCCCAGCTGCAATTCATATCCATTCTTTTATCTGTGAAGTTATCTACTAGTGTCTACATTGGTTGGCCTTAAAGTCTTATATGCAACTTTTAATCAGAGCAGTTCAGCTCTCTTTGCTCTCCTCCTAATCACTGCCCTTTGGTGCCTCTTTTTTCTTGTTGACTTTCCTATTGTCTCAATCAAGGTGGTGAGGAGGGGGCTTTGATCTGGCAAGATAATCCTAGACCTATTCTAGGTTTTACTTCAATAGTTGTACAGATCATTTTTTTCTTTTGTAAATTAATCATAAATTCCCTTCTTCAATTTTGGCATGGGCTCACCTGAATGAAATACTATAAACTTCACCTACTTTTTTTCTTTTAAAATGTAACAAAAGACTTTTTACAATAAATTACTATAGATAATAAAAAGAAAAGCACAGTTAACAAGAAGGGATCCCCAAGCACAATAATTAATTTTTTTTCTCTTGCTGGGTGATGAGAAAGTGAAAATTTTTAGGTGTGACTAGCTTTGGACCCTGAATAAGTCTGTCTTATCTGTGTCCCATTTTTCCACTTTATAATCTTAGTGATTGGTGATGGTCGTCTCAAAGATCTCTTCCAGTCCTAACACGATAATGGAATTCTAGATTTTAAGTGTGTTCATTTATTTGAATTTATCTCAAAAGGTGAGGTCATATAGATATTTCAATATAAACATTTTGCTGTGACTGATAGCAGCGACTTTTAAAATGCCTGTAAACATTTCCACTGATCAGGTGATCCCCATAGTGAAAAACAAAATCCACCGAATTGGAAAGGTAGGGGAAGTCAGTGCTCTCCCTATCCTAGGAGTCTCATAGTCTCATTAGCAGAGAGGTGATGAGTGGATATTTGGCTGATGATGCCAAACATCATTACACTTAGTGGAGTTAACTTGTCAGGGCTTAGTATAAGGGAAGTAGAGGAATGAATCTGCAATCTGTTATGTTTATACAGTGTATTCATTCACGGCGAGGTGTATTCCTCAGAATTTAGCTGATTACTAGGCTGACTTCCAGGTTGCATGCCTAATGCCGGGGGCCCGACCCCTGTCAATGCTGGAAATGATTTGGGATGTACGTTTTCAGGTATCATATTCAATGAATAACTGCATATGCAGATCCAGGAGCTACTACAATGTCCTCATTCCATAATGGAAAACCCCTGCTCCCAAATGGGCAGGGAAGGACCAGGACTTGGGAGAGCAGGGTTCTGAGCATTATCTGAGGACTGGTGGTGACAGACGCCAGGCACACACTCCCTCCGGGTCATTGCTCTTCCTCTGCTAGATGTAGACAAGCTTCATTCTCTCCTTCTCTTCCATTACCTCTGCCTCTTGTCTTGTCACTGACCCAAAGTCACAACCAGAATTTTAAGCCTACTAGAAAATGGGGGAAAAGGCAAATGAAACCTTCTCTTTCTAGTCTCTTATTTCTTTATCTAGAAACAAACTTTAAAGATTGCTCCTCTTCTTAGCAGGTAAGGAGACGGAATACCTCCCAACAGCTAGTCTGATGGTGAATGCATAAGCCTATCAGGAAGGGAGAACGAAAGGATTTGTCCCTGGGTTCTCAGAAAAATTGGCTTTGTAATTCTTAGAAGCATGATAAAAGGACATTAAATCGACTTTGAAAGCTGTGGAAGAAAAGTTATGATTCTTCTTCATTGATGTTTTATCAAAACAGAAGTCTAAAACTTACCCCCACTGCATTTAAGTGTCCTGTGCCCCCCAAACATTTCAGGTACATGAAAAAAGCCCTGGTGTTCAGCAGGATCATATTAAAATTTGTTTCTTGGGGGCTACTGTGTGTTTCTAATCCGAGGAGTGCTGCCTGACAAAGAAGAGATGCTCCATAAATTTTTGCTAAATGTTCACTGAAAGATTTGAACCTCCTCCTAATAGGTGCTGATTAACCAGCAAACAAATGACATGCACAGAATCTGACACGAGGAACTTACAGCATGAGAGAAGGGAACCCGATATGGATTGTCTGAAAATGATGCAGAAATCTTATGCAAACGATAAAATAAAGCCAAACAAAATACACAGGCATCTTTTCTAGTAAACCATTTTAATGTAAAAAGTACCTGCTTATTACTACAAAAAGGCCACTTTTTCCAAGTACATCTCGTATTTGATAATACAAAAAAGCCATTGTTTCCCTAATGATTTTATTATGGTTTTCCTTAAAGGGTTAACTTGTAGCATCCATGCTGTATGGAAACGGAAGGCTGTATATTCTTTCTGGCATATGCTTTCCAATTAGTTGGATGTCTGATGAGCTGCATGTAATCTTAATAATGCTCAGATTTGATATAAGCCATTTTAGTAGATAATGGCTCTTTGAAGGTAAGTGAAAGGGATAATAACTCTTGGCAATATGGTTGTTCAGGAAATTTCAATTTTTTCATAGGAAACTGAAAATACTTAGAGGATTAAAGTGACTACAACGCACAGATGAAATCCCCCATTTGGAAGCTGGCTTTTCTCACAGTTTCTCCATGTTGACTGTTTTAACAATCGCCCCACTTAGCTATGAAATCTTCATACTACAGAGTGTAACATTGTTTAAAAGATACTTTAGCCTCATAAATCAAGTGCTGAGATAATGCATTATGTGTGATACTCTCCTAGGAGTACTCACAAGCACTCTGGTGAATACTAACTCCTGGCCAAGTGTTTTTTTCAAATATTATTCTCCTTTACTTCTATGTCAGGATCCCAGGGCCCTGCCATCCCAGCCAATAACACCACAAACGGAGACAAGGATAAATGATGCAAAGACTGAACACGTGTGCTGTTTGCAGCACGGTAATTGCCACACTGCAGATTCTTAACCCTGCTTGGGCTCAACATTCAATGGAACAGAGAATCACTTGTGATTTCCCAGAATTTCAGAATATTTTCATTTCTTACCTTGTGTAATACCAGTAGTTGTTTGTATCCAATGAGAAACATAAATCTCAGGACTTGTACCTGAAATAGAATCATGGATCCTTAGCTTGGGAGGATTTTAAAGATGATCTAAGAATGTGGTATGTAAATGTTAATGTCCATTATAAATTCATGTGGACCATATTTAATTACAGAGGCTTGACCTTCATGCTCAAAACTATTAAATATTTCCATGATGGGCACTGTTGTAGATTTGAAGAGACTAATTGCATTTATTTTATAATTATCCTCCATGTTCTGGCTTATCTGTTTTTTCTTGAGTTAGGTCATTTTTTCAGTTGGTGTTTCCTTTGCATACTGGTTTCTTCAACAGAGTATTTTGGCATATCAGGTAACACTTGCTAACAATGGTTTGATTGATCAATATCAGGAATTGAAGTAGGTACACTTAAAAATGTAAAAAAAATGTACTCTGTACTCTGGGGTCATTACAAGGTCTCAGGCTCTGTAGAGAGGCAAGTGGGATGGAGGGGAGAGAGGTAGGGAGCCGGTGGGGAGCAAATTGGGCTTTCCCTTAGGGTGGATGGAGAGCTTGCCTTATGAGACATTGGGGAAGAGTCCTCTTGTCCTTCTCGTGACAGAACATTGTCTGAATTACTGCTTCTCTTCTTTCAGCCCCAGCATAACTTTGAAATTTCTACTGAAAAGATCCCCAATTTCATTCAGAAAGACCATCTTTCAGCTTTTTCCAGGGGACAAATGCCTTAGTCCTTAGCTACCTTGGGGACCAGACTGCCCCAGTGTCCTCCAAAGTCCCCACTGCTCCTTATCAAGTTCTGCTTTTGAAGCTTTAATATCAGCTTAAGATGAAATTCTGATGAGATCTTTCACTGTGTAAAAAAAAAAAAAGAATTCTGTCTAAGCCGGTGTTGTACTGTGAGTTCCTCATCACTTTTGGCTCTAAACTGCTTCGGACTTTCTGAACATCCTTCATTATCGCAGTTTTTCATTGCTGCCTTAAAATGTATTCCTTTTCTTTTCTTACGAGATTTTGGGAAGGAGGAGAGAGAAATGTGTATAATAGTTGCCTTAAATGTGAAACTGCCAACTGAACTTGATATACGATTGTCCCTTTACTCAGAATAATTTTTGATACAATAGGAATTCCCTACTGCGGTCTGCAATTCGATAGCACTGGTGATTATATAGTTTGAATTAAATGCTAGCCCCTTCTGATACAATAGTCTACATCTACGAATTACTAAGCTTCAACTCAATTCCTAGGTGCTCCTCAACCCAGGCTAACTTATGTGCACTTTCAAGGTACCTGACCTTTCTATGTATTGTAGGAGTGAATTTGGGACGGGTGCCATACACTTAGAACTCACCCAGCAGTAGTTATCCAAACATCTGGTACAGAAAAGTCACATGTTAAATAGCTGTTAATGTCATAAAGACTCCAGTAAAAGGATGAGATGGAAGAATTACAATATTTTGGCTTTGGCAAGGATGTCAGAAAAGTTTCATTCTGAATCTACCTTAATGTACCTTTAGTTTTACAGTGTCTATTGGCCTCTTTCATTGAGCAGAATAAAATTATCTGGTAAATTATGTATTAGAAAAGTCTCTCAAACTTCTGAAGTTCTTTTAACTCACATAGAAGAAGAAGCAGAATACAGTAAGAGAAACATACTATACAATATAATAATATAGATTATATAGATTTAGTAATATAGTATGCTGTAACTTACTATATTATACTATAATATATAGTAATATGTAAATAGTATATTATAGCAATATAAAATAATATGATAATTTAGAAAATAATAATAGAAAAATAGTGTGGAAATGCCAAGTCTACATTAAAAAAATCTTGATATCTTAAAGCTAACTGTAATTGCTAATTTTAATCTTTTGAGCCTTAATTTGTAATATAGTATGTGAGTGTGTGTGCCTGTGTGTGTGTTTTTGTGTAGTGTGTGTGTGTATTTTCTTCCTTACTCTGAATCTTTAAATTATGGAAAGGAAGCCTACTTCTTCTTGTACTTTTTTTTTTAGACACAGTCTCACTCTGTCACCCAGGCTGGAGTGCAGCTGCAGGATCTCAGATCACTATTACCCCGCCTCCCCAGTTGAGGAGATCCTCCCACCTCAGACTCCCTAGTAGTTAGGACTACAGGTGCACACCAGCTTGGCTAATTTTTTGTATTTTTAGTAGAGATACAGTTTCACCTTGTTGCCCAGGCTAGTCTTGAACTCCTGGGCTCAAGCAAGCAATCCATCTGCTTCAGCCTCCCAAAGTGCTGGGATTACAGGCGTGAGCCACCGCACCTGTCCTGGAAAGGAAGCCTTTTTATATGAGTTGTTTTCTACACAGTAAGTACAGAACAACGTCTATGACCATGACTGTATAATATTTCTATTAATTCCTGTAACTTAAAACATGTAGTTTGTAACATGACGAGACCAAGGAGTGCCACAAAAACATGAGATGCATGTGGTTAAATCCATTTCATGGTGCTAGTTCCTAGCCATTCACTTACAGGTGGGGGTGACCATTCTTTGGCATTTGAATGACTCATTTTCTCTCCTTCAGTTGCACTTAGTTGGACATCAAGAACTTCTTGTACTTATGTTTCTTAGAACAACATTGTTCTTTTTATAATTTCTTTAATAGTGGCATGGAGCTCCCTCTGTAACCTAATGTTCTTTCTCTCAATGATTCTCCATCCCTTTGTCTTTGGAACTATAGCATTTTTGTCTTGGTAAAATAGAGGTGTGAGGGTTCGACAGTCACCAGCCTCATGCACAGTGCCATGAATGTCATTGTCATTCAGGAGACATGCTTTGACTTCTGGGCATTTATAAATCCATGCACTGCAATAACAGCCCATAAAAAGTGGCTGGCTAATTTCCAAAGAGTAAAAGGAAGCTCAGGTTAAAAAGGAAATATGGTTCATGTCCCACCAGAGTCACCAAAAAAGAGAAAAAATAAAGAAGGAAGGAAAGAAGGAAGGAAGGAGGGAGGGAGGGAGAGAGAGGGAGACAAAGAGAAGAGAAGAGAAGAGAAGAGAAGAGAAGAGAAAAGAAGAGAAAAGAAAAGAAGAGAGATGTGGTCTTTGCAATCTGGGGTCTGGATAGATGTAAATGCTGGCATTTGTATCTACACCTCGTGATGCTGGATGAAGAGAATAATAGTACTAAACTCTCATCACTCTGGGTGACTGGTAAATTGTTTAGATGACTCCTAAATTGGTCTTGAGCTTTAGATGGAAACTGGCTTTCAGTGGAGTTTAACATGGGACTTCCAAAGATCTTGCAAATGAAGACTCCCTCATCTGGTAAGTTAATTAGGGAATTAACCACCTTAATTTTAACCAATTAGTTTAGGAGGATAGAATAGACTTGTAATCAATGCGAGAAATGAGCTCTAAATGAATGACATGGTCAAAACAACTCTCAAAACAACACACAAACTTTCCACTTCCCATGTCAGTAACTCAAAAATGGCCTGCTCTGAAGTCTCTTTCTGGACTCCCTGCATCAAATGCAAGAGGTGGTTTGTGGTGACTCATAAAAGGATAACTACCTTATTGATAAATACAAGACCAGCCTCAGAAATTCATCATGATCTCAATCATTGTCATTATTCCAGCGTCTGATAGTTAGTAGAGTGTAGGCTATGACTAACTGAAGACTGTAAGAACTTCTATCATCCAGGAAACTTGGGAAAGGTAAAAATAGTATCTAAATGCCAAATCTAAATGCTGAGATGGTAAAGTCTGAAACATTTGAGCACATACACAACATGGCCATGTAATAATAAATCTGAATATTATTCTGACTGAGAAGGTGCCAATGTAATTTTCTGGATTACTCTTGTTGGATGTATGAGTATTTTGGCTGTGTTTTATTAAATCTTTGAATACTTTAGATACTTCTGAAGGATTAGATGAGAAAGGTTTCATCATGCTCTATCAACAATTAAATATATTAATAAAAGTAAGAAAGTGCCATTTAGTAATCACAAAGTGTGTGTCATTCCAGCAAAGTGAACAGTGGCGAAAGGGAGTGTCATATGATTAAAAAAAAAAATGTGTGCCTTGCTGAGGCATAACATATCCCCAACTTGCAGGATTATCGCTAGAAAATGGTATGTCCCTAGACTTCTCACTTCTCCTCCTAATGCCAGCATGTTCTTTTTGGTGACTTCTTTGCAACATGCTATGAGACTAAAATAATTTAACATCTGACTTCAATGGATATGAGACATTTGGAGTATTTTTTACCATTTTACTCATTCATAATAGAGATGGGAGAGATGAGGGCAACTAGAAAGTAAGTTCCCAGACATGAATAATAGGTTATTTATTGATTGTTTTTGTAGGTTATTTTTGATATTTTTGCTCTGTGGGCAAAATAGAAACCAACAAGGTCAGTGATTCACATCCTCTGCTGTCAGCTGCCACTTGGTCACTTTTGGCAGTATTCATATACATGTAGACACATCTCTTCAGCTCCTTCATGGCTTTCTATAGGGAAGTCCTTGATGTACTATCTCTCAGGCAATATTTAAAAGAAAAAAATAATAAAATCACAGACGATGTACCACTAGGGGCACATTGACTCCAAGAAAAAGCCACGTGAGTAAATTGGTATTCCCCTTCACTCTCTCCAGGTTCAATGGTGAGAACTGCACATTTAAATGAAAATGAGCATGTGCCTTCCTCTCCCTCCTGTTCTTAGACAACTAGATAACACTCCATGAAGGCCTGTCATTCAAGAGGACAGTCAGTTTGGAGATGCTACTTGCATTGTGATAGTGGCGTTTGCTCAAAAGCAGATAATGGGTCTGCTTTTGAGACAGCGGGGCTGTGGGTGGTCTATGTTCCCTCTGTTTTAAAATCTTATCACTGTCAGCCCGACTGAGATAAAGTTCACGCCCAGCTTTTTGAAGTTGTGAACAAGGAATCATTTGTTGGAAAGATTTCTGGAGTATTTTATGCGCATTGTCACTCAAAACCTGGTCCTACAACTCAAAAGGCTACATTAGACCAGGACAGAAAGAAATGACAGACACTTTTTTAGCTTCTTTCACTTAACTTTAAAGAAACTTTAAAAAAGTTATTTAAGTTTCAAGAGCTAACTTTTGATGACTTAGAAGGCTACACAAGTTAGTTCAAGGTCTCAGAGGTTTTATAGATGATCTGTGTAATTTCCTACTTAATTTGTAAACTCATGTGATTTTGAATGTATAGAAGCAAAATATTTCCAATTCCAATAGATTTATGGAAAGTTGAATGTGAATGTTTATACATGTATGCATATTTATATAAAGATTAAGACCAAGTACGTTTTCTAAAACAATTAATTCTGAAACATTACGTTTTGAATTGTAAAGCAACCTGAAAGTTATTCATGAATGTGTTCTGAAAGCTTTGTTGGATGTAAGGTGTTTGATATGGTTTTATAATGGAGATGTTCAATGGATAATAAAAGAAATACAGATAAAGCCATCGAGAATCATTTCTGAAGAGTAGGTAATTTAACATTATAAGGTGACAATTCTCCGAAATTTTTGGAATAATGAACAGAAGTGTAAAATTATCTTTAGGATTGGATGGTAAATTACGTATTGTCTATTGGGGCAAAATATATTTATTAGCATTTGTGAGGAAAGTATGACTTGAAGAAAGTAAATAGAATTTAAATCTTTGTTTCTGGACAATACTTTACAATGTTTTCTTAGAAATTCTCAAGAAACCTTGCCCACATGAGAAACTGAATGTCAGAATTTCCTCACATGCCACCAGTAGATTGCTCAAAATTCTACTAAGAAGACATTTGGGATTGTATTCTCAGGTCCAAATATAAATATTATAACAGATTATGTAGTGTCCCTGCTTAAAAGACTAAAGGCAACTCATATGGCTTGGTTCTTTGATAGGAAATTGGAAGCAAACTATATAGTGAACATACATTTTGATTTTTTATATAGTATTCACATAAACCATAATTTCTACTTCTTTTGTTTAATTTCAGAAGAACTGGATATCCATTTTATTTACATTAGTGGAGATATGTGAGGGAATTAATAAAGGACCCAAGAGTTTTGGGGAATTGCTGCAAAGTGCCAGACACTCTGGAAGCTCCTTTCCTATATAAAATTTGTAATTTAATGTTTTCTATAATTATATGCAGTTTATAGATGAGAAAACTGTCCTTTAAGTGGTCTTTCCAAGTTCATATAACCTAATTAATAGCAATACTAAGATTCAAAGCTAAGACTAATCCTGGGCCTGCACACTTATACAAAATAACTCTGTAAGGTCCAAAACTTTTATATCAATTTTGCACTATTTCCTTAATGTAAGCATCTGTATATCTGCCAACCTTCTCAACATGTTATTAGCCACTTGACTTTGCATGAAGAGATAGGAGATCAGAAAAATAAATTTTTAGAGAGACGCTTGATACCCTTTTGGACATAGTAGATACCCTTTTGGACATAGTAGAAAATGCATCAATAGTAATATCTGTGATTATTATGGCTACTGTCATTTCAAGTAGAGGGTAAAGAGCAGGTTGGCTCAACTTCTTTACCCTATGTAGCTCTGGTGAACATCATTCCACAAAGTTTGTAGTAAAATGATGACTTAAGGTATCTTACTGCTAATAGGTTTTGAAGGAATAAAATTGTAAACTACATTTGAAATATGTGCTTTGGATAAGAAGAGGCCAAAAACTGAAGTTTTGCAGTTATATGTAGAAATTTGAAATTGGATGTAGATTAATGTGTGAGTTATACAGCCGTCCAAAGCCAGCATAATCCTAGTTGAAAAATAAAATTAAATATACAGTACTTGTATTAAATTGGTATTTTTCAAGAAACATCACTCCTAAAATCATTTAGACCTATCAGATATTTAAAATGCAGTGCTTAGCACTGAATTTTCTGTCTTTTCAGGGTTAGCTAGGTCAGAAGATTCTATGTGTTTTCTTATCACTTAAATCTATCCATAGTTGGCAAGAATTACTGCAGTTTCAATAAGTCATAATTGTCAAAACTTTGGGATAATAATTAAATTGGCATAATCAATTTATGTCACTTTGCGTGAGAGGTTTACAAAGCCTCTCAGCCTTCAAAGACGTTGCTTCCTGATATGGTTTGGCTATGTCCCCACCAAATCTCATCTTGAGTTGTAGTTCCCATAATCCCAATGTGTTGTGGGAGGGACCCAGTGTGAGGTAATTGAATCAAGGACTCGGTTACCACCATGCTGTTCTCGTGGTAGTGAGTTCTCATGAGATCCAATGGTTTTATAAGGGACTTTTCCCCCTTTGCTTGGCACTTCTCTTGCCTGCCGCCACGTGTGATGTGCCTGTTTTGCCTTCTGCCATGATTGTAAGCTTCCTGAGGCCTCCCCAGCCATGTGCAACTGTGAGTCAATTAAACCTCTTTTCTTTATAAATTACCCAATCTCTGGTATGTCTTCATAGCAGCGTGAAAATGGACTAATACAGTTCCCATTTCCATCCCAGGACAAGCAGTATAACAATGACTATTGATGTGAATTCAGAGCCTGGTGCTGGAATGCCTGTGCTATTCAGGTAGATTCAGAGGCTGGTGCTAGAAGCCCTGTGCTGTTCAGGTGTGTGTCACATCTGGTGTATACTTCCTGACCAAGGTTTACTTATCTGAATCTCAACAATACCAAAATGCTTCCCTTGGCACCCAGCCGCAATCTCGCATACAGATTCTCTTCTTGAGAACTGTTTATCATTGTCATCATGTAAACGTAGAAGGGCAAGGTCATGCATGGACAGTCAAGTGCTCTGAAACATACTTTGGAAATAATGTAATTGTCACTTTACAGCCTTTTGACTAACTATAAAAACAAAATAAAACAAACCAAAAAATTGAATTAAAAACCACAGCTTTTAATTTTTTTTTCCCTTCTGTGTTCCTCCTTTTGTTTCTAAGTGTAATAAAGCAAAGAGTTAATGTGCAAGAAACAGCTCAAACAAAGTCACAGGTCTTTAAAATGTGGTTCTAGTTTCTCAAAGGTCAAGGCTGCCAGATTTATGCTACAGGTATTTTGGGCAGTTATTAGCTTTCTATTTATGAACCACCAGTGGGCCATGTCTGTAATTTGACATCCATTATTTTCTTTTTTTTCTTTTTTCTTTTCTTTTTTTTTTTTTTTTTTTTGAAATGGAGTGTTGCTATGTCACCCAGGCTGGAGTGCAGTGGCGCGATCTCAGCTCACTGCAACCTCCGCCTCCGGGTTCAAGCGATTCTTCTGCCTCAGCCTCCCGAGTAGTTGGGATTACAGGCACATGCCACTATGCCCACCTAATTTTTGTATATTTAGTAGAGATGGGGTTTCACCATGTTGGCCAGGATGGTGTTGATCTCTTGACCTCATGATCCGTCCGCCTTGGCCTCCCAAAGTGCTGGGATTATAGGTGTGAGCCACCTTGCCCGGCCCCATTATTTTCTTTTTGAACATTTGAGAGCAAATTATTGCTAACACAACAGACACACATACACAGTAAGTCTTCACTTAACATCCTTGACAGGTGTTTGCAAACTTCCACTTGTAGTAAAAGAAATTATAATGAAAACAATTTTACCACAGGCTAATTGATATAAACAAGAGTTAACTTCCTATGGCATATTTCTGGTCACAAAAACATTACCAAACATCTAAATGATGTCCCAAAACACTTCTAATATTAAACATTGAAATACATGTTAGCTGTATATACATGTAAGAAAGATTAATAAAAACAAGTAAAATAATTATTTACCTATATTTTGTAGTTCAGGGTCATGGGTGGCCAGAGCCTAAGGTAGAAAGCAGCCCCGAGCAGGATGCCATTCCATTGCAGCATTCACTCACACACCCATACTCACATAGACTGGGACCATTTAGACACACCAATTCACCTAATTTGCACATCTTTGAGCTGTGGGAAGAAACCAGAGGAGCTGGAGCAAATCCACGAAGACACAGGGAGAGTGTGCAAATGCCACAGAGATAGTGGCCCCACCTGGAAATCATTTTTTTCACTCATCAATGTTATAACAAAATGACATTGAACAACATGATGTTATTCGAGGACATGCTATCTTAGTGTGCATACACACACACACACACACACACTTGCACTATACATTTGTGATGTCTAATGCAGTAGCCATTAGCCACATGTGAATATTGAGCACTTGAAATACTATTAGTCTAACTTCCATGTGCTGTAAGTACATACCACATTTCCAAGATTTAGCATGAAAACATAATGTAAAATATTTCATTATAAATTTGCATATTGATTCCATGTTGAAATAATTGTATTGTGTACAGACTGGGTTCAATATATTATTGAAATTATTTTTACTTTTTAAAAAAATTTTAATGACTACTAGAAAATGCAGATTTACATATGTAGTTCACCTTATGTTTCTACTAGACAACGTTGTTCTAGAGAGTTTGCCACATGGCCAGGCAACCAATAAAGCATTTGGAAACACGTAGTTTTACAGGGTGGCAGAGCACCTTCTCATCCACAAAGTCTGTGAGGCTCAAGATCTCTCAAGACCATGGATCCATAACTGGTTCTCTTGGATACATTTATAAATTTATGTCACATAACTGGTTCCTATGTCATGCCCCCTCTGCTCAATGCTCATCAACTCTATGTGAAGACCATTTTCCATTTTTCACAAGTTATGGACAGAGGGAGTGGCATTGTGGTTTCCTTCCTGCTCAACATAATGTCATTTAAAGGAATGTATGGGGAGATGAATTTCCTTGTGTCTTGTGACAACTGCCAATCTTTTATTTGAAAATTTAAAACAGCCACACAAATCATGTCTGTTTTTATCCTAAGAAGAATATACCATTCTTATTTGAAATATGTTATGTGATGTGAAATCCTGTAGAAATACAAACCGGTAAACACCAAGAGAAAAGCTCCATGAGTGCAATTTGGTAACTTTTCTACTGTCAGTTGGTAAAATTGGCAGAATAGATTAGGTAGAAAAGAACCAAAGCAGTCCTCCTTAAACCATAAAACTTTGAATGCCCCTTCCACTCATCTGCTCATGTATGACATTTTATGTAATCAATAGTCAACTTTGTTAGTGAAATAAAATATATCCTGCATACATTGACTTATTTCCACCGCCAAGTTTCCTGTACAAGTTGCCACCTTTACTTGCCTATATCACTGTAAGAGCCTCCTCTTCTATTTCACCACATGCTCCTTCAGCACATTCTGGAAAAGAAACCTGAGTGATTTTGTAATATTCTAAATCACATCATGTATTTCCCAAATAAAAACCTTCCAGTTCTTCACCATTGAACTTGAATCAAAGCCTTTACTTAAGCTGACAAGGCTGTGCAAAATCCTGCCCTTGCCTCTCTCCCTCACTTCACGTGGTGCCATTTCTCCTTTCTTACTAGGCATGAACCCACACTGGCATGCTTTTTATTCCCAGAATATACCCAGCACATTCCTGCCTTTAAGCCTTTGCACTTACTATTTTCTTCACCAGTCGTCTTTCCCCAGCCGTTCCCATGGCTCACAGCTTCTTATCATTTAGGTCTCAGCTTAAACGTTGCCTCCCAAGAGAGGCCTTCTATGACCACCCATCCATAGCAGTCATCAAGTCACTTTCTGGCCCAACACTCTGTTCCTAATAGTGCATACTATTAAATGATTTTATCCTGTTGGTTTGTCATTTTTTTGTTTACTGTCTATTCCTCACAACCCTTGCAAACTCCAACCCACTTGAAGGAACACCCCGAGTGTTCTGTCTTATTCTCTAGCACAGTGCCAGCAAATACAAGAGTGCCTGGGTCTATAACACGCCCCACGTAATTATCTGTGAATTAATAAAAACAGAAGTAGCAATTGTATTGATATAGTTTTGACTTGCTTTCACATCCACAAGTTTCTCTGAGTAGTTTGAAGACATCATGCTTCAACATCTTCCATCTCTTCATCACAACCTGGTGAGCTTTTTCTTAGAGGAGACCTCATGCCAAAAAATTAAAAATGTGCAACGAATTTGTGCAGTGCCAAATGTCTAACTTGAGGAAGGGTGATGCACAGGTTAGAGGAGGATGAAGACTTTGGTTTAATCCGAACTTTCACTCTCCATTAGACATGCTCAGTATCTGTGTTTCTATAGTAACCCTGGCCCTATCTGCCTGGGACTTACAGTCTCTACAAATATGAGTCAAGATCACTAACAAGTTATGTTCTAGTCTTTTAGTCTGAGTTTAAATGATTGTGAGCTGGGCAAGCCTCCAACCTTCTTGGCTTGTCCCACAAACTTAACCAGCACCCCTGCCTCTGCTTGCTATTAAATGGCAAATTTTTGGCTGGGCGTGGTGGCTTATGCCTGTAATCCCAGCACTTTGGGAGGCAGAGGCGGGTGGATCACGAGGTCAAGAGATCAAGACCATCCTGGCCAACATGATGAAACCCCACCTCTACTAAAAACACAAAAAATTAGCTGGGCATGATGGCGCATGCCTGTAGTCCCAGCTGCTTGGGAGGCTGAGGCAGGAGAATTGCTTGAACCTGGAAGGCAGAGGTTGCAGTGAGCTGAGATAGCGCCACTGCACTCCAGCCTGGCGACAGAGCGAGACTCTGTCTCAAAAAAAAAAAAAAAAAAAGGCAAACAGTCAAATGTATACTAAACTCATAGCACCCAGGTGAATAAGCAATGAATTCATGTTTATTCCCTCTTCTACTCTGACCATGCATGTTTTCTAGTAAGTTCTGAATGCTTTTCTTGCCCACTCAATTCTAAGGGGGAAAAAATTGGAAATTAAGCAGGCAGGTTTGTCTTTGATCAAAGAAATGCTTCATTTGACATAAACACTTTAAGTGAAAGTATATTCAAAGTATATATATATATCTAAAATAAATAAATATATATTATATATATAACCACTTCTATTAGTCTACCCAATTAACAGTAAATGCATTTCATCATTTTGAAAGAATTTCCTTAGAATTTTGTTTTGTTTTGTTTTTTGCAGAAGAGGGACTTCTGTACTTTTAATGGCTGTCTTCTTTTGTACATTCAATGAATACAAATTTAGAGATGTAATGCTTGTGTCAGTCTCTTTGGGCACGTGGAAATAGAAAACAGAAAATAAACAAGTTGACAAAACTGTGCAATTCAATCAACTCTATTTGCATAGTCTTATTTGAACTTAGTTTTATATATACATATATAAAATATATAATGTAGTATTTTAATTTTAATTTTGAATTCTTGTTCTACTATTCATGAAAGTATCTTTATTCTATTTCTACAGGATCGTTTTCTCCACAAATTAACAAATCTTCTTTCCAAACATGCCCTGCCTGTGGCATTTCAGTGAATTCACAAAGCAAACTTCTGATTTACAGAGAGTGGCTGCTCATAAAATCTTAAGTAAAAAGAAGTCTCATAAATACAAATGAGGCTGGTTTTTTTTTTCAGATTACTAAAAAGATAGCAAAGAGGAGAAGCATGTAGTTTTATCCAGATTCCTAGATGGAGACAGTGAATAAGTTTTCTAAGAAGAGGAACAAGATTTTTAGCTTCAGAATGTAACCCAAGTTTAGCAACATCACTTTTCTTAAAATGTAGGGAATGTTAAAAAAGTATCTTGTTCTAGGCAACATGTTGATTACGCATGAAGAAAACTGGCTTATTTATAGACCTTGAAATGTTTGGTACACCTGAGGAATTCAACTACCTCTCAATTAAGATAAAACAAAGTTTACAAAAATAAAGATTTGACTGAGGGAAAAAGAGACATACTCTTAAACGTACCCGTCCTTTAACTGTCTTCTAAGGAATTTTTGTTTTGTTTAGGTTTTAATGTCCACCAACAGTGGAGTTGGCTTCCCGGCTGTGAATAGATTCATGGAAGATGAACAAAAACAAATGAACAAATCAATGACAACAACAGCAACATCTGTGCATACTATAGAAGCAGATGTGTAATTATTTTGTACATTGGCTTAATACTGAGAAAGAGACTGAATAATTATTGCACTTCTGGCAAGTCTATATATACTGTCTCCTGACGAAGGACCCTCCAGCAACTTCGGGCTGAAATGAAGCAGATTCACTCAATCCGCACAAACTCTCAGAAAAGTGCATCTGGAAAAAAAAAAAAAAAGTGACAGGGACTGAGTCCCAGAGATATTCCCCAGGAACTCTCCCCAATCTGTGGTGCAATATGTGGTCTGACACAGCTGGACACCAGGCAGCACTTGGCCACCAGCCCTTCTGGCTGGACTCCTCCCCAAGGTAGGGTTTACCCTCACATAAAATTGCCAACCAGGGCCCACTTGGGTATAGAACTAATTTAGCCTCCTGTACACTTGATGAATGAAGAATTTCCTCTGGGGACTAAATTATAGGGCTTGTTGGAGTTGCTCTTTCGTGATCTGTTATTTGGAGGTAATTTTCCAAAAGGGCTGGAACACATGGCCATGAGCTAGAATAGGATTCACCATGAACAGCTGCCACGCGCTGGCCGGCACATCCCAGTGCCCTTGTCCTCTCCCCCAGCCTCCCCTGCCACTACCCCTGCTTCCCGAGAGAGGAGGTCCAGACAACAGGGCTGGACTTAACGTTAGATCTTTACTTTCCTTCTTAATTAAACCACTAGAATGGAATCTGCCCACCTTTTTCTGCACCCAGGTTTCCAGAAATGTAACATCTTGTCGTAACACGTTTCAAAACAGATGACAGGCCTTCCCCTCATCCTCCAATGTGGCTGATTACAAGCTTCTGTCAAATTCCACCAACCCCCACCAACCCACCCCAGTTGGCTGGAAGATAAGCTTCTGATCTTCCCTTGGCTTTTTGAACTGTTGGAAGCTGTGTAAACACAAGCTGCAGGTTAGTCAGATTCTATTTGACCCACGGCCTGCTGAGTGCAAAGAGATTACATTTGAACACTCCCTTGTCTAATTAAGCAATGGTGACCTATTGCGGGGTGCTTGCTGATGAGGTCAAATAGCAAGGGTTTTTAGGCTGACCTGTTGCAGCTGGTCATTTGCTGATAAATAAGAAACAGCTAGTTTTTAGTGAGCCAACTTCCCGACAGAGCCTTCCTTTCATAAAGCACTCTAATTTGGTTATTTCTCTGAATTTCTTAAGTGAGTTTCAGTACTTTAGAAAAATTTTTAGTACTGAGAGTAACAGACATTTGTCCTATGATGGAAACCCTTCTTCGCACAGCAGTGCCCCTTCAAAGGATCTACAAACTGTTATGCTGTGCCTCTAGATCTTTTTAGACCACCAACTTCTTCAAAATTGTGAAAGATGAAGGTCATTTTGAATGTTGACATTTGGATGGGATATGATGGTGATAGTGGGACAGGAAGCCCCAAGAAATAGATCTCAAGACCTTGACCTAGCTACATAATCAGAATCATTTATTGAGCATCTGCTCTGTAGTAGACGCTGTTGTAGGATCTTTTAATCTTTATCTCCACTCCTTACCATGATCGTCACAGCAAGTGCCATTATCCTTGTTTCATTGCTAAGATTCCTGAAGCATAAAGAGGTCAGAAACTTTCACAAAGGCTTGCAGTCATGAAGCGGAAGGTCTGGGAGCTGATCCATAATTCCCATGGCTTTACGGGTTGTTCATTTCAGGAAGCTGCCCAATTTCCTTGTGGAAGAAGTGTCTGAAGGCCACCTATGGGGAGCAAAATTTGACGGATGAAGATTTTATCTGTGAATAAGAAATAAAATAAGAAAGTGATATCTTCACTTTGTATCTAAAATGTTGGAACTGTAGACATTGAAAAAGTTATCAATGAAGCCCTCGTATTCACCACCATGTCCCTACATAGGTTATCCCTAAACCTCTGTAGAGGGTATCTGTTTTTTCTGCCATCAGTCTATTTCCTGAAATTCTGGAAAAAAAGTGTACACAGAATTCCTGCCTCGTCCAAAATTCAGCACGTGTGTTCTGACAGACGCAGAGTCCCCAGATGCCTGGCCACTGTGAATACCTTTGAGCCAATCAGAATCAAATACGTGTGTATGGAAAGTTCTGCCACAGACACGATTGCCCTTTCTCTTGGCCTTTAGTTGGGAATCACAGGCTGGAACTACTCCTGTCATCTTGCCACCTACCATATGTAGCCATACGGATGTATCTGAGAGCTAGAAACTGGGTCCTGGTGATGTTGGAATCCTGATGAAGCTGTGCCTAATCTCCCTTGCAGTTTACTTAGAATTTGAGAATGTTTTAGATATTTTCAAATGAAAATGCCTGAGTTTAAGTATTATTATCTTGCCAGATCCATGCACCCAGCCAATGATGAGATTAGAGTATAACAACATCTCCGTGTCTCCAAAGCCATTGCTTTTCCGTGGAACCATACTGTTATCTGAGTTAGAAAGAGGGCTTTGGGAAGGAGAGGACACACATTTTTATCAATGTGTTTTTTTTTTTTTTCCTGTGTGAGAAAGAATGGAGTAGGACAACTCTAGAATTACATCTCTTGGGAAATCTTTTAACATGACCCACAATTCCTTTTTTAACCTTCTTACAGGTTCATCATATCAAAATTTACAAATATGTCTGTCAATCTCCCACAAGGAAATGACACAAGCTCTCTAATGAAAACATTTTCTGATGCCTTGGAATTTTAGTTTTAGACCATTCTGCACAATGTCTCACATACATTTATCTGGCTACATTTTCAGTCAGGGCTGTATTTTCAGCCTCAGATGTGAAACATTTTTCGTACCCCTTAAAAACTGTAGCAAGGTCACAAAACTCATGAATTTATTGTAATAATAAAAAATGTTTTGCCCCCTGTTTTTATCAGCGGGCCTAGTTTCTAACATTACAGACGTGAATTTTTGCCCTCCTTGGAAATTCTTGCCAATTTCTTTGTCATCCACCTTCAATTATTGGTTCACAAACTAGATACAGGACTAACAGAGGCCACATCACCTCTGGATATAAAAGAAAGTTCATTTCCCTTTCATGTTATACTTCTTTTCAGGGTGAGAGAGGAAATGTACTAAAAGTACTTAGCTCTCTTAGAGATAGCTAGTTTTTCAACCAAATAATAATAATAATAATAATCAAACAAAACCATTTTGTGTCTATTGGGATCTTTGGATGTTTGATAGCCTCATATACATATCCAACCTAATAAAAATTTATCTTATTTGTACAGGATTTCAGCATTTACAGAAAACTTTCACGAAATTTATCTCATTTATTTCTCTTTTCAATCCTATAGTGTTGATATTGTTATTATTCCTATTTTAGAGATTAATATTAGGAGACTCAGGGATTAAGTGATTTGTTCAAAACTTTTCAACCTCTTCAGTGGTAGGACTGTATTTTACACTCAAATGTTCTGATTAGTGTTCAGACATTTCATGGTTACAAATAGCTTATTCGGTACCTGGATAGTTTTGGAGAGGAGAAGTCGAAGTTAGAATGCCTCCATGTTGCTTCTTTTCTCTAGGTTAAAGTGAGTGGATTTTCTAAATGTCTGAGAACAGATTGTAGTGTTTCCTGTTTATAGTGATCCCTTTGGGGAACCACAGAAATTCTGATTTTCCTGACCATTTGTCCTCCATCAGGCCCAGATGTTTAAAGGACGTTATTTTTATGTGCCAATGATTGCAGTATTTGCATGTGCAAATCATGTAATTACTTAACTACCCAAATTGTGCATGCAACTAAACTTAATTATGAACTTAGAACATTGCCTTAAGCATCTGACCCTGGAAAAATTATGGTGGCAGAAAATGAGTGTTAGAGTGGAAATTTCTTGCAAGGCTGATTTCGTTGTTGTCATTGTTTCATGGAAATCTATGTTAAGTTGATTAAGTTGCTTTCTTTACCTCAGTTGGAACATCTGAGAATGAAAACAGTGCTTGTACTACCTACTTTCACTGGGTCATGAGGAGAAAATTGAGACCATGCATAAAAGTGATTTGGAAAAAAATTATAAAACATGAAAAAAGGTATTCTTTTTTTTTTTTTGAGACAGGATCTCACTCTGTTGCCCAGGCTGGAGTGCAATGGGATGACCACTGCTTACTGCAGCCTCGACTTCCTGGGCTTAAGTGATTCTCCCACCTCAAACACCTGAGTAGCTAGAACTATAGATTCACACCACCATGCCCGGCTAATTTAAAAAAAAATGTAGAGTCAAGGTCTGGCTATGTTGCCAAGGCTGGTCTTGAACTCCTGAGCTCAAGAGATCCTCCTGCCTCAGCCTCCAAATGTGTTAGAATTACAGGCATGAGCCACAGTGCCTGGCCAAAAAAGGAAATATTATTTTTGAATGGCCTCATTAAACTCCATTTTTGAAATATGTAGAAATTAACATTTTATATGAATCTTTTGTTCATCTACCCAAATACTATACGTCATACTACGATAAAATTTGAAAAATAAAATTGTAAAAAAAAAAGGAATATTATTGTTATTTATCTTTAGGCTGCATAACAATTTCTCATTTCCCTCTTCTAACAATACTATGTGGCATATAGAGAAGGAAAAGTTAGCTACATACAGTTCACATATATGGAAACTGAAGCTCAGTTCATTTAAAGGACTTAACGTTAGTTACATGAGAGTTTAAGAGGCAGATTGATAATTTAGCACCAGGTTGTGTGACTCCAATGTCAATAACTTAGACATTCCTGATAAAGAGACCATGTTCTTTGCCATCAGTAGTTATAGACATGTTTGAGTCAGCCACTCAATGTATTTAAAAATGTATACTTTCCAATAATTTAAGGAATGTAATACCTTGTCTTGAATTAACTTGCAGATTACGATTGCATTCTATGTAAGAAAAGGACTTGCTAAGAAAACTAATGATATACTTAAGAAGGCGGAGCCTCTTAAGACTTACTTAAGAGAACAAATTCGATGGGTTGTGATTGTACTTTACCCATTTGTTGAAACAGATACAAAGGGTACAGGCCAGATCCAATTCAGTGAGCAGTTTTAGATTAGGTTCCTTTTCCATTGAGATAAAAGTCACATTACTCTCCAAGTTTTCTATTATTTGCCTAACCTTTCCACCCAATTGCTTATTACAGTGAAGTCATTATTGTAGTCATTAGAGTATTATCGGATAAAAGCATGCATACATTTACATAGTTCTTCCAATAATATCTCATTGGGTTTCCAAGCCTTTGAGCAACTTTGAAGGTTCTAAAGTGCTTGAAAGATGGAAAGGTTTTGCAGTCTCTAGATCCAAATGATGTTTTGAAGGTGATTCAAGAGTATGTGGCAAGACTGGAATATTTGTCCTTGAGTCTGACTCTACATTCTGATCTCTAACCACGGGGTGTTGCCCTCTCCCTCTGTGAGCACGGATGTCTCCAGACAGAAAAAAACCAGAGATATCTTGGACATTAAATAAGGGTGTTTCAAAGAATATGGGCCACTAAGTCATCTATACCCAATGACTTGGCAGGAAGTAGAATCATCACCTCCTTTTAGAGTCATGATATGTCTGAAATTGTGTTTATTCTGGTAAAATAAACAGTCATTAGCATGATTCACACTTTTTCCAGCTTTAGCAAAGAACAGATAAATTATCTACTATTATCCTCCTCTACCTTTTACCTCATTTTTGAGAAATCAAATGTGTTTATATGAATAGCTACCATTTCTTAAGACTTTACCTAGTGCCTGTCCTCTTGCTAAACACAAATCTATGCCTTATCTAAGCCTCCACAATAGCCCATTATGAGTTAGGCATTATTCTTTTCCTATGTTTACAGATAAGGAAGTGGAGGTTTAAGAGGCTTAAGTAACTTGCCTAACCTAACATTGTTTGGCTTTTATTTGTAAGTACTTCTTTCAGTTACCTCTGCACTCTGAAAATGCTTCAATGATGACTCCAAGACAGACATGCCAATGACAAACATACTGATACTTAAATAGATTTTCTTCTGTCTCCATATGTGCATCAGATGAAGACATGAAGCTACAGGTTCAGCTCTTATTGAAAAATTGCATTCGTGCCTTGAGTTTCTCCATTGAATAATGTAGCATTGATATATTAATTAAAAATAATTTGTGACATTTTCTCATCACCTATGAGATATCACTTTGAAGGCACAGTTGTGATAATAAAAAGAATGCTTTAAAGTAAATTTGAATTCCTTAGGAGGTAAGCTTTATTTTCAAATCTTTCTGAGTAAGATTATAGCAAGAGGCTGAAGAAAACTTCTAGCATAGTGAGGTGGGTACACTATGGAAGACTTTCTTAAACATCCAGTGTCCCTGTCAATTAATTGTAGATAGTGTAAGTTCAATTTGTCTACAGAATGAATTTCATCTTACTTGACAAGACACCAAGTTCTTCTTCCTTCCCTCATATTTAGAGGTTCTTATTAGCTTAGATCAGTGTAACAGACACTTACAGTCACCTGCTAGGCTGCAGCTATGTGTTGGGGACTGAGGATATAAAGCTGATGGAACAGTCCAACAGGGAGAGACATAAACATAGGGGGTAGATGGAATTTCAGAGCTAGCACTAAGAAAAGGCTCTCAGGCCAGATTCTCCAGCTGGGGCCAGGTAAAGGAACTTCATCCTAAATCTGTTTCATATAAGCACCTCGATTTTTCTAGTTTGGGGTTTCTGCCCTTAATTTTTACATAATAGCTTGTTGATGCAAATAAAGAGGCAAAGGTTCTTCCTCATTTCCCTCTGGGATCAATGGTGGAAGGTTGGTCGATGTGATGCCAGTGACCTGTGGTAGTAGCACAGGGGTCTTGACCAGCTCTAACATGCTAGTAAAGTCCTGACAAGTTCATCGTTGACCAGAAAAAATAATCTAGAGCAACAGTAGCCACTAGCCACAGTCGCCTATTGAAAACCTGAAAGGAGGCTGGCGTGAGTTGAAATTTACTGTCAATATAAAATGCACATTGGAGTTCAAAGACTTAATATGAGGAAATAATGTAAAATTTATATGTAACATTTTTATGCTGAATACTTCATGAAATAATAATATATTGGATACGTTGTTTTAAATAAAATATACTCTTGAATTTAATCTCATTTGTTTCTTGCTCCTTTTCTTAATGTGACTATTAGAACATTTAAAATTACACAAATGGCTCATATTATATTTCTACTGAATAGTGCTGGTCTAGAGCCTTCCTACTCTCATTGATGTAACCCTTTTCTAAGACATTTGCTTGGGAGAGAGAATTTATCTTTTATGTTAAATGGCCTCCCAAATAGCAGAGAAACATTCTGAACCAACACTATTTTTCTCTTCCTGTTTCTGTACTGCCATCTAGGTTGTTATAAAACGTTTTAAATATTATCTATTAAATACCAACAAAGTGTAGAAATTATAAAAGAAAAATATTTAGAAAAAATAGCAAAAGTGAATCTTAGAATTTGGAAAAATGTTGTTATGAAACAAAATTAGCAGACAACTTTTTTTTTTAAATGCTCCTTTAACTACAACTTTGTGAATTGCTCAAAACCGAATTCTGCTTAAAATTTTCGTGGTGTTAGCATCTCTTGAATGCTGTTGGTTTCAAAGTAGATTAAACTTTAACAATTATGATTGAAGGTTTACTATTAAAAAGTAATTTCCATCAGGGAACCTATGCTCTGGCCCTATGCATTCTCCAATGCATCATTCGCTCTGTTTCCTTAACCATTAAAGCAAGGGGATAGAATAAACAATCTCTGTTTGCTTTGATTTAGGCAGTCTCTATTTTTTTATGTGCTATAAACCACATTTGTTTTAAAAATGGATAAATACTATAACTGGAATAAAATTTTCAATTTTTTATTCTGTTACTCTTCAAAAAAGATATCTGACTCAATATTTTCCTTTTTCACTGAAGAAATATATTATTTTTTATCTATAACCAAGGAAAAGTTGCGTAATTTATATTTTGCAGGATTTGAAAGAGTAATTTTCTTTCTTCCCCTATTATCTGACATTGAATGTTTTCCTTGATAAGAAAGAGAGGAATAGCCTATTTACTCTAAAAATGTTTTCAAAGCTTTTTAAAAGCAGCACTTAAAATTGGTTGATAAAGCAAAACTAGAGACTATTGTACAGGTATATACAATGTATAAATAATTAAAATGATGTTAAGTAGGGAGACTTATTATTTTTATTATGATCCTAAATCTGCCATATAAAAAAAGACAACAAAAACAAACTTTTACCAGCTTAAAATTGCTATGGGCATCACATAATGAATAATAAGTCAGTTACTAGAACTATACTTTATATGTATTTAATTTCATTCATTTTCAGTATTGTTTTTAGTAATAATAATAATTTTCTAAGATGGTATTAATTAGCACCTTTCCATTGGCCCACTGTAAATGATTAATATTTCATGATCTCATAGTTCTTTAATAACTAATATATTAGAAACACTAGTAATTCAGGTCTATAAAGCCAATGAAAGGCTGTTAGAGTTGTAGTTTTGTTTCTCAAACTTGCCACTTTTAAAATGTAGATATTAAACCTGTAATTCAGATGTCTACATATTATACTTTTATCATTTATTTCATATCATGTGACATAGAGGAAAGTATATTAAAATAATAGATCCCCTGTAAAATGGTGACTCTTTGTATTCCCAAATATGCACCAAAGTATTTTTTGAATAAAGACTTGTTAATAATGTGACACATTTTGACAGTTTAAAATAAGAGCTTAATCAAAAAAAAATTAAGGTGACACCTCCAATGTTTCTAAAGGTGTTTTCTCTTTCAATGTGGTTAAATGCTGGAGGAAATGCTGCTGGCATATTGTTCCAGCTGTCTTGTTCTAACTTGCTGAAATAAATAAAAGGACTCATAATAGAGTAGATAGAGAGATGGGGCCTGGGATGTTTGTTTAAAATTTCAGCCATGTTTGAATTGTAAGTGCTGCCAATAATTTCAGCCACTTGACTATGAAATGCTTCATCCTGCTCCCCAAGTGTCTACGCACGCTCTGCTCAGCTCAGGTTGCTGACAGGGCTTTCGTGTATGTTCTGAAATGAACTAACTGAACATCTGTCTCAAAGTTCTGAGTTATCTGTATAATTTGGAGAGTTGGCTTGGTGTATTTGGTCAGATTGAAGTAGCTTTGACAACTAATTGAAATAGCTTTGACAACTTGGAAATATTCGGACAATAACCACATGATAAAAAGAGAATAAAGACTTAGAGTGTTAACCTGAGTTATGACTGACCAGAGCATGGTAAACTTATTCAATATACAAGAATGAGGCTCTTAGGGATGAGCCTTCCAACTAAGTATCAGAGAACAACTACGAGAGAATTGCAAACTAACTTGTAAATGGGTATATCCACAGGAAAATAGTCTCCCAGAATACCATCTCCTCCACCAAAGTAAGTGTATGACTTTCAAGGCCTGAAGACTCCACAAGGAAAAGAGATTGGTTGACTCAAACGCATTATTGACTTGTCAGTTCTGGATTGGCTGGTTGTAGAGAAGCTTGGTGCTGGCCAATTGCTGAACCTCAGACTGTGGTTGTCAGAAGCTGTGTTGACCTTTGAGATCATTAAAGTTAAGTTCAGATAGTTCAGTTGAGTCACAGACCACAAAGCATGGTTAACCATCAGGCTGTTTTTCTGCTGATTCTGGTCCATTTTCTGATATGAGATTGTTCTGATTTCTTCTTCTGGAGAGAGGAACCCTCACTGTTTCATAATCTTTCATCTCTCTAGGTGCAGGGTGAGGAGGCAGGCTCACAGAGATGTACTTAAGGCACAGCAGAAGTTTTCCATATCCAGGCAAAGTAGGAGCTTCTTAGAGGGTTACTGAGAAATAATGAGGTAAAGCGGTAGATGTCAGTGATGAAAAGGATAAGTTGAGGTAAAACTCGTGCAAAGAGAAAATACAATGCGATCGATTCCTCTTTTACAATATCATTATCATATGCACAGTTAGGGGAGCCCTATCTGGTGATGAGATGGTCTATTATTCTGGTCTCACTTTGGCTCTTGAACTCTCTTCTCAAGTTGTCTACATCTAATATTGGGACAATGAGCACATCTCCACTTTAATTGGAGTGGTGTGGAAGCAGTCTAGACACATTCATTTTTAACCTGAATTATTAAAACAAGGCAATTTTCTCAACTGCCTTATCTAATCCCAGGAAAATGTATCCATACTTTCACGGGCCATTTTATTTTTGGTCTTTGCTGTTTCTTTAGATACAGATGTATTCATCTATACAAGCTTTCAGGTGGTAGTGATTATGCTAATATATTCACAAAGCATAGTTCTTTTTAATGAAAGGTGAAAATGATGTGTAAGGTCTAGTCTGTGCTCTCAAGGAATTTAATATCTATTGAGTGGAAAGGTAACACAAATTATAATATGGTACTTGTTTTTATAGTGGTGTTATATATAAAGGAGGTGAATAATAATTTTAGCTGGCACAGTAAAAATAGAACTCTCATAGAAAAATTTGAGTCGTATCTTGAAGTAGAGGTTAGGCAGGTGGAGAAAGACACAAAACTCTTTCCTGGCAGACGTAACTGGTTCTGCAACCTCACAGAGATATGGAACTTAATACGATGGCCAAGGAATAGTGAGCAGGGGCATGAGGCCTGAGCAGAGTCCGTGGATGAGGAAAATCCTGCAAGACAGGAAAAGAAGGGGAAAGATAAAGCTTTAAATACCAAGCTAAATATTCTGTTTTATTGTTGCTCATTATTGTGTTTTGTTTTATTATTATTATTATTATTATTAATTATTTTTGCAGTGGAGAGCCACAGCTAAATTTTGAGAAGAGAAGTGAGTTTCTCTGTTTTGCAGGTTATGTAGATGCCACTATTAGCATAGTGAAGGATGAATTAGACAATAGAAACCCGATTGGAAAGTAATCACCATAGTTCAGGTAGGAGATGAGGAAAGCCTGGATTTAAAAAACACCAACAACTGCTGGTGATAGGAATAATGGGAGGAAGGAGGCTGATCTGAGAGGAATCTTGGAAAGAGAACAGACAGAAATTGATCATCCAGTGAACACTGGTGGGGAAAAGACACAAGATAAAAGGGGAAATCAAGGCAGAGTTGCTATTTCTAGCAGAGGCCTTTGAGAAGTTATATTAAGACTCTCTTGGTTGATGATGTGAGAATGACAGAAAATACAACTCAGAAGAAAAATATAGTGTGTTAGGAGGAATAAAAATAATAAAAAAGAGTGTATTGGCTCATAACTAAAAATTCCAGGGGTAGAATGTGGCTGGGATCTAGGCATCCAAAACATGCCACCATTTTCTGAGCTCTCCTCACCTCTTGGCTTTCTTTTCCTTTATGCTGGAATTATTCTCAGGCTCTATGTGATGGTATCAAGGCAGACAGTGACTCCAGCCCAGCATCTTCACAGCAACAAGTCTAGCAGGAAGGAGAGACCTTTGTACTCCTTCCTTCAAAAGTTTAATTAGGCCACCCGCTTAGATCTGAACTCACCACTGTGGCCAGGGACATCATTCTCTGAGAGAACCCCATGAAGGAGAGAAGGAACTGTCTAGGGAAAAGTTGGAGTCCTGTTTCTAAGAGAATGGAAAATAAATTTTGACTGAGCAAAACACTGCAACTCTCACTTATAATTTGCAAAACCACTAACTAAGGTAGTGAATATAGAAAGGAGAATAGTTCAGGTGGGTGCATGAAGAAAGGAGGAGCAAGATGACAAGAAGGGTTTGTATTTCTTGCTTTGCATATCACAATATTAAATAATATCACTTTAATATTAATTAAAGTGATATTAATAATTATCACTATAGTGATTTATAGTTACCATTCAGAGCCTCATTCTACTAAAAGCAGGCAATAGATAGTATTGAGAATGTGTATTTGTAAGATATGGCATTTTTTGTATTCTTCAAAAGATTTTGGAGTACTCAGGGTGTGTACTTCTTTATTATCCATTATAAGTCAGACAATGATTTTCAGATGCATTGTAACGATGTGCACATTTAACACAGTTAGGAATGTATGCAAATTATTACTTTAATCTTTATTTCATGATTTTTTTTTTGTCCAAATGCTTGAAGATTGTGCCAGATAATAGTTTTTCCTTTCATTCTTTCTTTGTCATTGTTCTAGAGATTTCAGTTAGACAATTTATATAGAAAAACCCTGTCTCAGGGCCGGGCATGGTGGCTCACACCTGTAATCCCAGCACTTTGGGAGGCCAAGGCAGGAGGATCACGAGGTCAAGAGATCGAGACCATCCTGGCTAACATGGTGAAACCCTGTCTCTACTAAGAAATACAAAAAATTAGCCGGGTGTGGTGGCGGGCACCTGTAGTCCCAGCTACTTGGGAGGCTGAGGCAGGAGAATGGCATGAACCTGGGAGGCAGAGCTTGCAGTGAGCGGAGATTGTGCCACTGCACACAGGCTGGGCGACAGAGCGAGATTCCGTCTCAAAAAAAAAAAAAAAATAAACAAAAAGAAAAACACTGTCTCTTGGTACATTTTATGATAAAAGCATTTTATAGAAACTTTCAATTACATAGAATATTTGAGACCATATATTCTAATTAAATAATCATTTTGCTAGTGGATAATTCTTCCACGTGCTATGCATTAGTATAAACAAAGGGAATATGAATGTAGAATGCACATATTTTACACTAATCATGTGAAATATTTATTTATTTTAAAATACTGCAATACCAAGTTTCTATCACTATAGAAATGAGATATTTTGAAATAGTTATACCATAGTTTAACATGTAGAAGTTATAAGTCAGTGAGAATTTGTTAGTACTGACCTTGTGTTATAGCCTGGCAAGTGCCATTGATTATCAATATTATTTATTGCATTATGGTCTAAGCATAATTCTTATACCTTAACAGTTCTCATAGAGGATCTACATTTAAAAATAAATGTAGTTCTGAAATACTCAAGCAATGCTAATGGAAATCTGATAGTTGGATTTTATGGACATATGACATAGTAGGAAAAGCACTGGGCTCAGAAGGTACAACTTAATTCTAATACTCTCCTGTTTTTAGAAATGCAATGTTGGGGAATTCTCACATTCATAGAACCCCAGTTCCTTTTCAATAAAATAGAGAGAATTGGACCTCTGAGGGACGGTAAATATACAGAAGTGCTTCGGGGGGTTATGTGGGAAGGGGCAGGTAAGCCAGTGGGGAGCTACTGCCCAGCCGCTGCTGGGGATTGCAAATTGTTAAAGTAAAGGAGGAATGGGATGGAATCACAGTTTCCTTGGAATGACATGGAATTGAGTACAGTAATACCCATCTCTCATGATTTTCCCATGCACACCTTCCCCAGGGTCCATTTTTAAGAATGAGGCATTAAGCTGTATGTGAATGTACTTGGCAAATGGGAAAACCCTCCATGAATGCATTGTTATTATTTTGCAGTTCATCTGAGAAAAAGCTGCCATTTCCTCATACAAGATGAACTGACAGACTTTCTCTTTTTTTCCCTCCCACCAATCCAAAAAACAAGTCTTTATGTTGTTTTCATTAGATAATATTTATTGTACAGAAACAGGAAAAAGCAGGTTAAACCTATGAGTAATGTCTAGTTATTACATGAGAAAGACACAGTTCCCTAAGGGGATATAGAGTTTTCAGAATATGAAGAAATAATATTTGTGGTGAAAGGGAGGAAGAGAGAGTGATAGAGAGAGATTTTTCTAGATACAGTCATGTATATACACTCCCTGTCAAAATTCTAGACAGGATTCTATTTGGCATTCCTGACAGGATATTGTCAGGAATCAAAGTTAGCCATAATGATGGAGAATTTAATTAAAATTAGGGAGTATGTTTAGCAAAAAGAAATAACTGTTGATCCAATCATTTTAGTCAGTTTAGTAAAAAGGTCAGACTGGCTGGTATTTAGCTTTGGGTTGACACAGTCAATCCTCTATGTAGGTATTTATAGTAAGCCTGGAGGGTTTGATGAAATGTGGAGGTAATTGAAAATAAACTATAGTTTGTGGATTCTCAGGAGTTTTGGAATCTGTTATTCTCTCTGTTTAGTATGGTAATAGTTAAGCATGGCTTCAGTGATTATTACAAAGTTTTCGAAACGAAAGTATTTCTTCTCTATGAAAAAAGAAAATCTTTTGAATAATGCTTACTGGCTGTAGATAGATTAACAAAGTTAATGGAGACTTTTTTTCAAAATAAGATACTGACTTTTGATAACACATTTTAAAGAATACTTTGATAAATATCAAAATTAACCTTCCCAGCAGAATTCATTCACACATTAATTGAAATAATTTTGGTGGAAATGAAAAGGAAATTGAATAAATTTGGGGTCTTTTAAACTTTTTTACCTATCAGAGTAACTGATATTTTAAAAAATAGTAATGTTAAATGCTGATGTGGACACTGAAATGGAAACATATTACCATTAGGGAGTATGATTTGGTAATGAACATCAAATGTTTGCACGATTTTCTTCTCATAAATTTGCCCTAATACATAGTTTAAAGATACAGGTACTCATAAGGACAAACTAAAATTCAATATCACAATAGGACAGTGTTTTGTTAAATTAGTCATATTAGTTGACAAAATAATATGCAACATTAAAAATTACATTCTGGGACATTATCTAAAGATGTGAAAATACCTTCACGAAGTCAAATTTTCTTCATACAAAGTCAAGTAACAAAACAGCACTTAAGAGTATCAAGGTATGGAATGTAGAATAAACAGAAACACATTGAAAATACTGGTGGAAAGAGTGATTATTTCTGGGTAATAATTAAAAAAGGAAATTTTATTTTCTTGTTTATATTTTATTTTACTGCAACTTCTAAGTTTTTCAAAGTATATTTGTTACTATTGTAATTACAAAATGAATAGCATAAACATTTATTCTGGGGCACTTAATTTTTTACAGCTGTATGCCTCTGGCCTTACTCTCCACCTCCTCTCAGTTTAGCGCTATATAGTATTTTACTCACATCCCAAAGGGTCTCCCCCACAAACACATCCAAAGAAAGAAAAAGGGTGAAGGAAGGCAATATCAGGCATCTTCATAACATACTTTACTACTTATCTACTCCGCTCTTCCTTGTCTATTTTTAATAGTCTGATTTTTTTTTGTCAGCTCTTGCCTCTCCTTGATCAAATACTGTGCTCACGTTTTATTCTAAGTCCCCAAGTCCTCACAGATTACTGAAGGTTTAACCCAAAGTCCCTTAAGATAAGAGTACTTCTTTCACAGGATTAAAAGAAAAATCACCCTAAATAAATATCTTTGAATGTTCTTCTCACTCCTCCATTTTCCCTTAACCCCTCAGAATTTATTACTATTCTAGATCTTTTGAGAATGTATACTCTTTCCTACTACTTTCTAACCAGCTCCACCTGCTGGTGCTAACCTGTGTGTCTTTGTAATCTGCACCCTTGCCTCAGATAATGTGGGAGTTTTCCTCAAAACATGACTTCTTTTTCATATTTCTGCATCACTTAGTTCCTGGCATGAGAGGAAGTGGGGTTAGATCTGTTTTAGAATATTTTCTTTTGGTCTTAAAATTGTTTAATTTGAGTCACATTTAATTGCTTTTAGGCAAACGGATGAACAATCCTAGAAAATGGACCTCACGAGAGTATGCTGAGGTTAGGGTTTGAGGAATAAGCTGCCAATAATTACCTTCCTATTAGGTCCCTCTAAGGATAAACTTAGCAGGACTCCACTGTTTGGAGAACAGAATATTTTATTTGGGAATTCAGCAGACACTGACTCAGATTTTGAATTCTTCGCACTTTTTATGATGCTTGACAAGCAGGTATGATCCTACACCTGCTTTGAAAAATATAACTTGAGGTAAGCCGGTTATGTTTTAGAAGCTTCCTGTTCTTTCTTGAGGTCAACTGAGAAGTTCTGGCCATATTTCTGATAACTTCTCGTCTAGGAATCTCCCAGGGTACTTTGTAAGCTAATGATCCCCCATACCCACTCCTGAAAGATCTGAATCAACATTAAAATATTTTTGGCATATTCTTTTGGGGCCAAGAAAAAGAAAAGCAAAGCATAGCCAGTGATATGGTTTGGCTCTATGTCCCTACCCAAATTTCACCTTGAATTGTAATAATCCCCACGTGTCAAGGGCAAGACCAGGTGTAGGTAATTGAATCATGGTTTCCCCCATGCTGTTCTCATGACAATGAGTTAGTCTCATGAAATTTGATGATTTCATAAGCATCTGGCATTTCCCCTGTTGGCACTCATTCTCTCTTTTGCTACCCTGTGAAGAGATGTCTTCCTCCATGATCGTAAGTTTTCTGAGGCCTCCCCAGCCATGTGGAACTTTGAGTCAATGAAGCCTCTTTTCTTTATAAATTATCCAGTCTTGAGTATTCCTTCACAGCAGCATGATGACAGACTCATACAGTAAATTGGTCCCAGGAGTGGGTGCTATTATATGGATAGCTGAAAATGTGGAGGCAACTTTGGAATTAAGTAACAGTGAGAAGTTGGAACAGTTTGGAGGGCTTAGAAGAAAACAGGAAAATGTGGGAAAGTTTGGAACTTTCTGGAGACTTGGAGGGCTCAGAAGACAGGAAGATGTGGGAAAGTTTGAAACTTCCTAGAGATTTGTTGAATGATTTTGACCAAAATGCTGATATTGATATGGACAATGAAGTCCAGGCTGAGGTGGTCTCAAATGGAGATGAGGAACTTGTTGGGAACTGGAATAAAGGTTACTCTTGCTATGCTTTAACAAAGAGACTGGTGGCATTCTGCCCCTGCCCTAGAGATGTGTGGAACTTTGAACTTGAGAGAGATGATTTATGGTATTTGGTGGAAAAAAAATCTGTTTTATTTCTGTTTATTTTATTTTATTTTATTTTTTGAGATGGAGTCTTGCTCTTTGGCCCAGGCTGGAGTGCAGTGGTGCAATCTTGGCTAATGGCAACTTCTATCTCCCAGGTTCAAGTAATTCTCCTGCCTCAGTTCCCAAGTAGTTGGGAATACAGATGTGCACCACCACACCCGGCTAATTTTTGTATTTTTAGTAGAGACAGGGTTTCACCAATGTTGGCCAGGCTGGTCTTGAACTCCTGACTTCAGGTGATCCATCTGCCTCAGCCTCCCAAAGTACTAGGATTACAGGCATGAACCACCACTCCTGGCCTGGTAGAAGAAATTCTAGTGGCAAAGCATTCAAAAGGAAGTAGAGCATAAAAGTTTAAAAAGTTTACAGCCTGGTGATGGGGTCAAAAGAAAAATCCATTTTTTGGAGAGTAATTCAAGCCTGATGCAGAAATTTGCATAGGTAATGAGGAGGAGAATGTTAATCACCAAGACAATGGGGAAAATGTCTCCAGGGCATGTCAGAGACCTTCAAAGTAGCCCCTCCCAGCACAGGTTCAGAGGTCTAGGAGGAAAAAATCATTTTCTTGGCCTTACCCAGGGCCCCCCTGCTGTGTGCAGCCTAGGGACTTGGTGCCCTACGTCCCAGCTGCTCCAGCTATGGCTAAAAAGGGCCAACATACAACTCAGGCCATTGCTTCAGAGGGTGCAATTCCCCAACCTTGGCAGCTTCCATGTGATGTTGGTCCTTTGGGTGTGCATAAGACAGTTGAGGTTTGGGAAACTTTGTCTAGATTTCAGAGGATGTATGGAAATGCCTGGATGTCCAGGCAGAAGTTTGTCACATGGGTGGAACCCTCATGGAAAACCTCTCCTAGGGCAGGGTAGAAGAGAAATGTGAGGTCCGAGCCCCCCAAACAGAGTCCCTACTGGGGCACTGCCTAGTGGAGCTGTGAGAAGAGGGCCACCATCATCCAAACTGCAGAATGGTAGATCTACCAACAGCTTGCATCATGCGCCTTGAAAAGCCACAGGTACTCAATGCCAGCCCATGACTGCAGCTGTGGGCGGGTGGGTGGGGCATATACCCTGCAAGGCCACGTGGGTGGAGCTGCCCAAAACCACAGGAGCCCCCTTCTTGCATCAGTGTGACCTGGCTGTGAGACATGGAGTCAAAGGAGATCTTTTTGGAACTTTAAGATTTAATGACTGCCCTGTTGATTTTCGGACTTTCATGGGGCCTGTAGCCCCTTTGTTTTGGCCAATTTCTCCCATTAGGAGTGGCTGTATTTACCCAATGTCTGTATCCCCATTGTATCTAGGAAGTAACTAACTTGCTTTTGATTTTACAGGCTCATAGGTAGAAAGGACTTGCCTTGTCTCAGTTGAGGTTTTGGACTTGGACTTTTGGGTAAACGCTTGAATGAGTTAAGACTTTGGGGTCTGTTTGAAGGACATGATTGTGTTTTGAAATGTGAGGACATGAGATTTGGAAGGGGACAGAGGTGGAGTGATATGGTTTGACTCTGTATCCCCACCCAAATCTTATCTTGACTTATAATCATCCCCATGTGTCAAGGGCAGGACCAGGTTGAGGTAATTGAATTATGGAGATGGTTTTCCCCATGCTGTTCTTGTGATAATGAGTGAGTCTCATGAGATCTGATGGTTTTATAAGCACCTGGCATTTACCTTCTGGCACTCATTCTCTCTCCTGCTGCCCTGTGAAGAGGTGCCTTCCGTCATGATTGTAAGTTTTCTGAGGCCTCCCCAGCCATGTGTAACTATGAGTCAATTAAACCTCTTTTTTTTTCTTTATAAATTGCCAAGTCTTGGGTATTTCTTCATAGCATCATTAGAATGGGCTAACACAGTAAATGACTGTTTTGAAGGGAACATTGAAATTTAGTAAACTGGCTGTTGTTTCTTTTAGGAGCTCATTGATACTATTCACTCATTCATTTTTACCATCCTGTTGCTCCATGCATTGTAAAGGCAGTCATTGGCTTTTGGCTTGATACTGTTGGCTGTATTAGCTTGTGCCTTGTGAGATAACAAAGGGAATGTGCCAAGAAATTGGGAGAAAGTCTGTATTTTCCCATGTTTACTCTTTGATCTTACTTTTCATGTTCTCGGCTCTTGAAGGACAAAGAAGTTTGTTGTAGTCAATCCAAAGCTTCCTTCCTGCTCATTTTCCCAGAGACTTGGCCTCAAAAATTTGGTCCAGACATAATTTTTTGGCATATGGTAGATTTGTTCAGTGCCCCTCGGTAAAGACCTTTCAGATACACAACACAAATTCAACTGTTGGTTCACTACAGATTTCAAGATCATAAATCATATTGAGTCATGTCTACTAGCAATTCATTATCAGCCTTTTCTTCATATTCCCTCTGCCTAGAGTTATCCAGGATTTTTTTTTTTTTTTTTTTTTTTGAGGCAGAGTCTCACTATGTCACCAGGCTGGAGTGCAATGGCGTGATCACGGCTCACTGCAACCTCCGCCTCCCAGGTTGAAGCGATTCTCCTGCCACGTGGGTGCATGCCACCATGCCCAACTAATTTTTGTATTTTTTGTAGAGACGGGGTTTCACCATGTTGGCCGGGATGGTCTTGATCTCTTGACCTCGTGATCCGCCCGCTTTGGCCTCCCAAAGTGCTGGCGTGAGCCACCGCACCCGGCCGATCCTGGATTTTTAATAAGAATCTCTGCAATTATGAATGCACGAAACATCAGATAACCCAAATGTGAAGGACTGAAAGTGTAACCCTTGGCTATTGGCATGATCTTGTGGCTAATTACTATTTCATATTTAAGCTTTAGTATCTAGATTTTGTGGATTCTGACTCTATTATCACTTGGAATATTTTTATAACAAGACAGGTCCTATAGCAATTCCTCATAGGCAGGAATTATTTTTGCTCTGTTTTCCAAATATTTGAAGCTGAATTCATCTTTGCTCATATGAAGATGATGAAATGAAAAGAGAAACACAAGACCAAATTATTATCAAAGTCTTCCTAACCAATCTGCAGATCTCTCTCATCTTTCCTGATTTATTAATGAAAAAAAGAGGCAGCTTCTGGTGGTGGATAAATTCGTTTTAAATATCCTTGAATATTCACTAGGAATGATACTAATAATCAACTCCAGGTAACTTAAGACTATGCATATTATAGACATAAAGCTGATAGGGTATTTCTTTATGTCTTAGTATGAGGTAAAACTCCCTGAAAGTTTCCTAATATCTTTATGATTTTTTTTTTTGCTTTGTCTGATCATTTTGCACAGTAGACCCTCTCATGCTGTCATTCTGGATTTCACATCTTTTCTTCACTGCCACCTGCTTTTCTGTTGAAAACAAATATTTCCTTTAATCTCTCTTGTGTTCAGAGTACTAGTGTGTTTGACACTGCCCTCTGCTTTTACATAGTATTATCTAAAAATGTATTTAGGTTTTGATTTTCTCCAATTAAATTATTTTAAAGTTATAATGTAATTATTTTAAGTTTACAATTTTAAAGTAGAATAACTATAGATCTTATCATTTATAGGGTTTATTCTGTACTTGCTGGAGCGTACAGTTACCACATTTCTTGATCTGGAAAGTTATTTATCGCCATTTAATAACGATGCTTTTATTTTATTGAAAATACACAACTCTATTGCACATGAAAAATGTATTTGAGTGGCTGAGAAGTTGTATGAAAGCTCAGGATTAAAACCAGAAAAATTCGCTTCATATCCCGACTCTGCTGACTGTGACCTATATGCAGTGGTGAGCTGATAAATGTTTAACAACCAGTTCTCAAGCAGAAATAGTCCTTAATTTGAAGAATTTGCCAATTTCTATGTAGTGTTTCTGAATCCACCATGACTAATTTTAAGTTGCAAACTGGAAGTTGCTGAACTAAAGGTAGCAACCCACATGTAGAGATGTCTTTCTCCAGCCTGTGAGAGCCAGGTCTAGTATAACATCCACAGACTTTTGGGTATAACACTTAGCTTGCCTGAGTCTCAGTTTTCTGCTGTGTAACATAGATTGTGTTAGGATAAAATAGTCTATGATGAAGTCTTGAAATACGGTAGCTCCAATAAATTGCTTTTCTAAAATTCTCCATTAATGTAATTACTATTGCAAAGAAATATTGTATAGATTAAATAAATATATTACTTTCATAAAATCTTTGTTGTTGAATTTTTATCTCAATGCTAAACATGTTTATCTCTGTAATATTCAGTTTCTAGTATTTCATTCTGAAATAAACTATGCCTAAAATTTGTAAAAGTTAGAATTTCTGCAATTATGAAGCCAACCCCATTACTGGAGCAGTTTTGTGCTGCAGTAGCACTTAAATGTTTAGCATTAATTATTTACAATTGCAGCTGAGTTTACAACCTTCCGTCTTAATCACAGAGAGGGAAGAAGACGTGAGAATCAAAGTTAGATTTAGTTGTTTTGTTTTTTTCTACCGACAAATTTGGAAAAAAAATGTAATATTTCTGAACTCTGCTACTGAGGAGATTTGCCTTATTGAGTCATAAAGTATTTGCCACCGTCTCTAATAAGTATTGTTACATTTGACTTTACATGAGCTTTTAAATCTTTTACAGAAAGAATGCATTCTCTCATTATCTTAACTCTTTCAGATGAGCTTTCTCAAGTTGAGCCATTTGCTTTCCTTGGTCTTTCCTGCCCAGCAGTGCTGGTGACATGAGCATCCTCTTGCTCCAATGCACCTTTCTTGACCTGACTTGACTGCTGGCTTTGATTCAATTATTTGACACTTCTTCCCCAAAGAAAATGCTGGGGTGATAAAACAGAGGTGACAGGAGAGTAGGTAAAACTGGTCAGCAATAAATCAATCAAACAAGTACTTATCCAACACTTCCTAAGTAGCAGAGACTGTGGTGTAAACCCATAAAATCCTCAGAGAGAGAGAGGAAAGGAAAGAAGCCAAGAGCAATGAAATATGGAAGAAGGAAATATTTAAGAAGTGGCTCATAGGTGTAAGATTCAAAAATAAACATTAAAAATCAAGAAAGGCACAAAATATATAAAATAGTGCAAAGAAAAAGGCTTACATATTTATTTCCAATTTAGTCAAATATATGCAATATTAACAATACCCAAAGGTAGATGTCTTGTCTGTTTAATACTGTCTTTTTATATTTCATAAGGTACTGTTTCATCTTCCAAAGCTGATTAGAAATCCTGCTGCTTCAGTGTATTCTCTGGGTGCTTCTCATCCATTCAAACCTTCATTTAGTGAAATTCCATGAAATTTTAATGAAATAAATATAATGACAGCAGGCATATTTCCCCACCCTAATTTTCCCCCAAACTGACGTGTTAGAAGATGACTTCATGGATATTTATTTGATGTTAGAGGTATGGGATTTGGATTTTGAAAGTTTATGTTTTTTCTTTTCACCAAATATGAAAATTAAAGGAGGCAGATGACACAACAGTTAGGAATCAAGTGTCCCAAGGTAGGTAGGAATCTTTTTACATTTTAACAAATTGCTCAGTCCTGCAAAGCTACAAATAGTGTTGTTTGCATTTCAAGTTTCTTGGAGATTGCTTGACCTCTTAAACTCCATAAAAAGAAATTATTTCTATATAGAGTCCTTAAAATTCAGAGTCTTTGTTTCATGGTAAAAATTTCAGCCTTTATTCTATGCCAAGATGTTGCTTTTCATAAGCTGGATAGTTGATTATTACTATGGTTGTGCAGCTGGTAAAATCTGGGAGTATCCAGTTGGTTTCTGAATGGTGTTATCTTATGTATCTATTGATCTACCAATCATCTACTTCTAATGGATCATTTTATTCAGGTAAACTCAAACCTAGCTGATTAAATGTATTCATTATAATTTACATAGTGTTAATGCTTCATAAAATCTGAAACTTATTATGAATATAATTTGAATGTTTTCTTACCTTTCTCACATGCTCCAGAGGTTCTACTTCCGTGACCTGATTCGAGCTAACCAGCAGAATAGAAAGATATCCAATGCCTAGCTTTGGGGATTTACCCAATATCTTGCAAATATGTGTGGACAATATATATAAACAGTGTGACATTTGAGTCAGACAGTTAGGGGTCCAAACAGTAATTCTTCAACTTACTAGTATATGGTTTGAAAACATTACTAAAGCTCTCTGTGCCTGTTTACTCATCAATAAAATGGGATTAATAACATATTTTGCAGGACTGATTTGAAAATAAAGATGAGTAATAAATAATAGTGATTGCATCTCTTTCCTCAGTTCTTGTAGGTTTTATAAGAAATTATTTTTCTTGAAATTTCTTTCTTTTTCTATTAAGAAGGACAAATGGGAAAGAGGTTCCCATGGAGTATAGTTGACATAAGGCCATGTGAGTGTTGTTAGTTCTGTCTTAAGGCTCTTCCAGCTGAGATTCTAAGACCTGGCAGAGCAAAGCTCAAATAAACACAGCTGCTTCTGTGTCCCTCCTTAGGTGGTGTGGCTGCGTGTGTCAGCCTCCCTTTATAATGAACAGAACACTTTTCAGGTACATGGCAAAGGTTTTAAGATAAAAGTAGAAAATCACCAGAGTTCTTATATATTCCATAGAACATTTATAGGCTGGAAGGTTCAGACTCATGGGCAAATGGCTCCAAGCACAAGATTGAGAAGATACTTCCATCCCAAACAGAGGCAATGTAATTATGAGGAAGCATCTTTAAGAAATGCTGTTGTGGTTCTCCCCTTATTAAACTTCACGTCTATGTTCCATCAGTAGACAGGAAAGAATATGATGATTTGCAAACCTACAGAGTGCCAAAATCTAGCAGTGATCCTTATGGAGGAATAGAATTTTCACTTATTATGTGTATTCTTTGATAGTTATTTTAAGGCACTTTATTTCCATTTATAACACTCCTGCAGTGCATAGACCATTATCCTTAATGGGGACATTGAGTACCATAATTCACTGGGTAGCTAAGAGATTTGAACTGATTGCAGAGCCCAGCATCTTTTCATTGAATTATGCTATATTAGTGCAACAGGTGAATGCTTAAGGATCTCTACAATTAAACCGGTGTGGGTATGAACAGAACATAAACAAATCACACTGACTTTTGTCTTAGGTCAGAGTCCCTAGGAACAGAGCTTGAGACTGGAATTAGGTGCGCATGATTTACTGAGGGAGTGCTCTCTGGTGAATGCTATAAAGCTGTAAGAAAAGCAGAAGGCAGGAAAGACATTAAGCAAAAATGGATGGGTCCAGGTTCTCCTCCTGATCCCACGGGTAGTCTTGAAGCTTGAATAGCACTACAGAGATGGTATCAATTTGAAGCAAGAGGCTCAAGTTTTGTACCCTTTGCATGAATTGTTAGCTGTGGGCTAGCCCCCGGGATGGGGGTGGAGGCTGGCCTCCTAGTCAAGGTAGCTTCTGTTTGGTTGAGAACATTTCTGTCAAAAGAGTTGCTGTGAATTGGCATCTGTGGCCTGTGTGTGCCAACAGTGACCTCTGCACATTGTATGTGCTGTACATCTGTATCCAAATCAGAAAATTAGCTGCTGTTTAACACATTCTTTACAACATAAAGCTACTAACAAAGCTGTGGTTTCAAGCTGAGTCTCCATGTCACAAGGATAAATCTTAAGATTTACCTGAGGTCCACCCCGGTGAAAAACAGGACAGTGAATGGTCAGTAACAGAGCACCTACTATGTCACTCTCCAGAGTTTAAGTGACTTAAATCTCACAACCACCTACCAATGCCCATAATTTGGCCACTTTTTGTGTGTGAGTAGTGTTTGAAAAACAACAACAACAAACAAAACCTCATTTTGGTGGCAACACCTGACCTGTACATATTTAAGTCCATGTATAAATTTTATTTTCTTGAAATTATGGGAATATTTAAATGTTTGAAGAAATAATTACTAATCGAGTTGATTAGTGCATACTGCCCAAGGTCCTACTAGCTGTGTTATGTGATCTACACAAAATGTACTTTTTGACATTATAATATCTAGAATTATTATATACGATTATTATATAATTATTATAAAGGGTTATATACTACAACCCTGGCCATAGGGTCTACATGGAAAAAAAATGTATCCCTGACCCATGATATCACCATATGGGTAAGGGAATGGAGGCTCAGAAGCTTTGGATGTCAGACAGGATCTCTTAGAATTCATCTCTTAGAATTCATTCAATGAATACTAATTCATTGGTATGACTAACTTAATACAGGAATTTGTTTTATAACATCCAACCAGACTACTGAGCATTTTGTACACATCCAAATATGTAAGGCAGGTCATTTTATAATTTAGGGGACTCCAGCGTTTAGAAAATCCTACATAAAATCACAATCTATCTCCTTGTAAACTCTACTGATGGACCCTTGTCCTGGCACTCAGAAAATTGTAGACTATAAGCGTTTTTTTCTCCCATAGTTTACCCTGCAAATATGTGCATAAGTTGCAGGTTTCAAATCGTTAGGATTTTTCTTCTTTACACTCAGTGTCTCCATAACTTTTACCATTCTAATTAAACTTTTCTGGGATATTCCTTTTACAAAGGGCTCTTCCTGGGCCTGAGGTATTCAGGGATTTTAGCATGAAGTGCAGAGAGGGAAGAAGGAAGGGAGTGGGCAGAGGACTGGGGAAAGGACACATTCTTAGAGCCCTGTCTCTGTTGAAAACCAGCCCTTCCCCTCCCTGGAATCCAAGAGTAAATTCAGCCACAGCTTGGGTGGGGTGAATATCAGATTTGGCCCTACTGGTAGGTCACAGAAGTGGGAGAAATCTACGTGTTGGTGGTTTTGTGGTTTCATGGAGTTCATCTATTTACAGTAGTAGAATTGCATGCTCATGACCTGAAAATACTGGGATCAAATCCAGCCTCCCAACAGAAGCTAAGAAGAACCTCAGATCCTCATCAGTATATTTTAGCACAGTTTTTTGTAGTGACTCCAGGTTGGATTTTGGTCTTTTAAAGTATGTACAAGAATGTAAGCTCCTTGAGTCCAGAAATTTTGTTTATTTACTGCAGTGCTACTAGAACCTTCAGGGGTGCCTGGTACATAGTGAGCATTATGCAAGTTTTCAACATACATATGAGTGAATAATTGAAAGGTTGGATAATTTAAATTATTTCAGGCATCATTTTAAAGTATACTCATTTGGAATTTGTCTCATGTTTTCAACACTTCCAGTGCCCATAATTCTGCCATCTTCCAGTTTCCCCTAATAACGATGCTGTTCATGGGTCAGAAACTGTATAATACCCAGGAATATATTCTTTTTTCTGAAATGAGAAATCTGAACTAATGCAAACAGCCTTTCTAATTTTTCAGAGGACAGTGTTGTTGTTATTGTTAATACTCAGAGTCATCAAAACCTACCCAGATAAATTTTAAGACAAAGCAATTGATGCAAAGAAAACCAGGGAGGATTACTTGTCAGTGACATGGTAACCTAGGACTTGTCTACATTTAATAACCCAGAAAGCCACAAAACACAGGGCTGCAAGAAAAATAAACTTACAAATTGATTTATTATATCTCTGAAAAAATAAATTTTCTAAAACAAATCTTGTTCACTAGAAATTTACCCAAAGACATATAGAAGATACAGATGATCTTTTTCAGCTTCTCTACCTCCTCTTTTTCTGATAATATTTTATCTTTAATGTTCTTTGAATTTTTTCTTTGAACTATTTATAAAGGTTTGATAAGTGTTTCCAATTAGGTCATTTTACAAAATAGATGCTTAAGATAAGTTTTATTAAAATATTTCTAATAATGAAGAAAAATTAAGTTATTAGTAAGGTGACCCACCAGAACATAATTGAAACCCTTTATGTAAGAGGTGAAAGCTACTGTTCATTAATCCCTATATTTTAATATATTAAAAAACTTGTATGAGACTTCTAGCTCAAAAACCAGTTGCTTTATAACCTGCTGAGTAGATTATAGATTATTTCATCTCTTAAAATATTTTTTCTCTCTTGCTATGATATATATGCATATTATATGATTATGTACTAACCTATTGTGTTAATATTTGCTGTTTGTGTGCCAAAAAATCATTATCTGCTCCCAAAACTTTGTGTGCTTACATAAGAGAGTGCATTAGAAGGACTGTAAACTGAGAAGTTGGAGAGAAAGACTTTATAATTCCAGATTAAATTTCAAATAACTCTGCTAATCAGATATCTGCTACCTATCTGTAATAACACTGGAGAGAATATTCCCATTTCCTTTAATTGTGACTATATGTTTTTGATACGGAAACTTGGGCTGTAATGTAAAAGGAGTCTGAGCTTAGACTAACATTTTTAGCTTATAGATGACAATAAATGTCTCCTTTCCCTTCACTCTTTCAGAATGAATTAATAGTAATAATAATTTAAAACAAACTTTATACTTCATGAAAAAAACATGTTCATGTAGAAAAATCGGGAAATGCAAAAAAGAAGAAAATTACCTTAATCACCAATTACCTAAAACCAGGTATATCTACTGTTAATATATGGATCCCTAGTCTTTTCACTCTCTTTAAAAAATATGTCAAATCTGTTTGAAAAAGAAAATATATGCATAAATATAAAATCATACAAAACATTATAAAATGAAATGTTAAAATGCTCTTTCCTTCTGTCTTCAGCTCACCTCAATACTTCCTGTTCTGAGTTTTCTCTAGGATTGCCTTTACACATATGAAATCATATATACTTCTTGTTTGTCTTTTTTAAACTGCGTATTTTAATTTCTTACTGAAAAATATGAGGAAGGTGTTCATTTGTTTTCACGCCCACTTTCCCTTTGCAGCTTTTAATTTTTGCATCCACCTTCAGTTCTAGTGGGATTGAGAAATTACATTAAATTATCAAAGTCTTTAAACCTAGAATTCATAAATTATTATATATCTTTAAATTTTATTTTGAGATTTTATTTTGTAATTATTGAGGATGATAGTTGAGCTCTCAAGGAAGCTAGACTTTAATTTCTGCTATTTTGACCATAGTTAGTAGGGGGTCTTGGAAAGTCACATATATTCTCTGGCTCTTAGGTTGTTTACTTTTGAAATGTTAGGTGTGAATTAAAGGTCCCTTGTGGCTCTAAAATTTTACTATTTGTGAGATGTTATGAAAAGAACAGCTTTTATTCAGCTTGTTCAGTTGAAAGACAGTCATGGAGACTGAAGGGTTACCTGTAACACCGAAAGTTTCTAACTCATTTTCTCTTTTGACTTTAACTTCAGTTGGCTATACACACACACACATACGCACACACACACACATCTCCCAGTGTGGAGGCACACACTTTTACACTCTTAAGAAGTATATTATAAATAATTATGATTCAGTGGTGTACTGGAGACAGTTTGCACTGGCTTGTGAAGAGCCAACTGTTGAATCATTTTCAACTCTCCACTGGGTGTCATCACATTGATAGGTTGAAATTGGCCATGGTAGAATTATTTATACCATGAAAATGAGCAAACCTTCCAAATTAGTTTTTCTTCTCTTTTTAATCCATAGATCAAGTATGCGGAAAAGAATTAACATAGCAGGACTACTATCTTTAGAATGACCTGCTTACAGAGTTGGTCCTTGATTACTGTCTGGATTGCTGGATTTAGGGAGGGTTCTCACCATTCCCTAACTTTTAAGTCCTCATTGTGCCTATGCTGTGCAAACTGGGGATTATGGGGAACATCTACTTTCCTTAAAAGACATTGATTAAGGCTGGGCAGAGGAACCTTGATACATGCTAGGCAGAGGGTGGCTATTGATCATTTCCCAATAAAAACCTTAGGAAGTGAGTCTCTAATGAGCTTCATGCCTATGCAATATTTCATATGTGTTGTCAGAATTCCCTGTTGGAAGAATTAGGTGTGTCCTGCATGACTGTACTGGGAGAGGATTTTGGAAGTTTGCTCCTGGTTTCCTCCAGACTTTATCCCATGCACCTTTTCCCTTTGCTGATTTTTCTTTGTATAATTTTGCTGTAATAAATCATAGCACTGAACACAATTGTATTCTGAGTCCTGTAAGTCCTCCAAGCAAATTACCAAACCTGGAGGTGGTCTTGGGGAATCCAAACACAGCAAATTTGTCAGCACACCACTGATCAAATTGTGAAACTCTATTCAGCCATTAATATAAATTATCTATATGTTGTGTCCTGGAAATAGACTCATGGTATACTGTTCAGGAGAAACAAACAAATACCTAATTCACAAAAGTAATGTGTTTGTGTGTGTGTGTGTGTGTAGGCATGCATACACATGTGTGTGTTTGAAGACATAGGAAATTATCTGTATGATTAGCTATCAAATTCTTAATATGGTTTCTTTTGGATGCTGATATTGGATAGACAGAACACAATACTTCCTCCACATACTTTATATAATGAAAACAAAAAAATTAAATGGTGGAATTTATAAATAATTTGTAATTTATTTTCTGATAACATTGAAATAAAAATACAGAGTAGAAAACATTATACTTCTAAATGGCACTGTATTAATCTGTTCTCATGCTGCTGATAAAGACATACCCAAGACTGGGTAATTTGTAAACAAAAAGAGGTTTAATAGACTCACAGTTCCACATGGCTGGGGAGGCCTCACAATCATTGTGGAAGGTGAAAGCCAAGTCATACATGGGGGCAGACAAGAGAAAAAATGAGAACCAAGCAAAAGGGGAAACCCGTTATGAAACCATCAGATCCCATGAGACTTATTCAGTATTATGAGAACAGTATGGGGGAAACCACAAACATGATTCAATTACCTCCCAGTGGGTCCCTCCCACAACATGTGGGAATTGTGGGAGCTACTATTCAAGATGAGATTTGGGTGGGGACACAGCCAAACCATATCATTCTGCCCCTGGCCCCTCCCAAATCTGATGTCCTCACATTTCAAAACCAATCATACCTTCCCAATAGTCCCTGAAAGTCTTAACTCATTTCAGCATTAACTCAAAAGTCTACAGTCCAAAGTCTCATCTAAGACAAGGCAAATATCCTACCTTAAATATACTTCCTATATACAGTAAAAGTACAGGAATTGGGTAAATACAGCTGTTCCAAATGGGAGAAATTCACCAAAACAAAGGGGCTACTGGCCTCATGCAAGTCCGAAATCCAGTGGGGTAGTCAAATCTTAAAGCTCCAAAATGATCTCCTTTGACTCCATGTCTCACATCTGGGTCAGCTTCTGCAAGAGGTAGGTTCCCATGGTGTTGGACAGCTCCACTTCAGTGGCTTTGCAGGGTACATCCTCCCTCCCAGCTACTTTCATGGGCCAGCATTGAGCATCTGAGTGTTTTCTAGGTGCATGATGCAAGCTGTCAGTGGATCTACCTTTCGGGGGTCTAGAGAACCATGGCCCTCTTCTCACAGCTCCACCAGCAGTGCCCCAGTGGGGACTCTGTGGGGGCTTCAACCGCACATTTCCCTTTTACACTGCCCTAGCAGAGGTTCTCTTGACTTCTGTGCACCCACAGGCTCAACATCACATGGAAGCTGCCAAGGCTTGGAGTTTGCAGCCTCTGAAGGCACAGCCTGAGCTACCTTGGCCACTTTTAGCCATGGCTAGAGTGTCTGGGATGCAGGGCACCAAGTCCCTAGGCTGCACACAGCAGGGGATCACTGGGCCTGGCCCACAGAACCATTTTTTCCTTCTAGGCCTCTGGGCCTATGATGGGAGGGGCTACCTCAAAGGTATCTGACATGCCGTGGAGACATTTTCCCCATTGTCTTGGTGATTAACATTTGGCTCCTTGTTACTTACGCAAATTTCTTCAGGGGCTTGAATTTCTCCTCAGAAAATGGGTTTTTCTTTTCTATTGCATCATCAGGCTGCACATTTTTCAAACTTTCATACCGTTTCCCTTTTAAAACTGAATGCTTTTCACAGCACCCAAATCACCTCTTGAATGCTTTGCTGCTTAGAAATTTCTTCTGCCAGATACCCTAAATCATCTCTTTCAAGTTCAAAGTTCCAGAAATCTTTAGGGCAGGGGCAAAATGCCACCAGTCTTTTTGCTAAAATACAGCAAGTGTCACTTTTACTCCAGTTTCCAACAAATTCCTCAACTCCATCTGAGACAAACTCAGCCTGGATATCATTGTCCATCATTATCAGCATTTTGGTCAAAGCCATTCACCAAGTCTCTAGGAAGTTCCAAACTTTCATACATTTTTCTGTCTTCTTCTGAGCCCTCCAAACTGTTCCAACTTCTGCCTGTTACCCAGTTCCAAAGTCGCTTCCACATTTTCCAGTATCTTTACAGCATCACACCACTCTACCAGTACCAATTTCTTGTATTAGTCTGTTCTCACAGTGCTGATAAAGACACACCTGAGACTGTGTAATTTGTGAACAAAAAGGGGTTTGATGAACTCACAGTTCCACATGGCTGGGGAGGCTTCACAATCATTGTGGAAGGTGAAAGGCATGTTTTACATGGCAGACAAGAGAGAAAATAGCCATGTGAAAAGGGAAGCCCCTTATAAAACCATCAGATTTTGTGAGACTTATTCACTATCACAAGAACAGTATGGGGGAAACTGCCCCCATGGTTCAATTACCTACTACCAGGTCCCTCCTACAACATGTAGGAATTATGGGAGCCATAATTCACGATGAGATTTTGGTGGGGACACAGCCAAACCATATCAGGCACCATCAGTAATGTCTTTTTTAGACTTTTGAATCATGGGAAACTGCAAATTTGAGTTGGACATAATAAAATATAATATGTTAAGGATACTTCATTAGCCATTAATAATTAACTACTAATGTTTATGAACTTCCTGGGTGTGTGACCTTTGCTTGGTTCTACAACATGTCATGTTTCCTGTTCCAAATGTCAAGGAAATCTCCATGCTCTGTGTTTAATTTTCATGCGTAGGCAGACAAATTTGTCCTCTCAAATATGGTCTTGGTCCAAATTTGTCAAGTCCACTTCACTTGGTTTCTGGTTGTTCATCAATATTTTTGTGGTTCAGCAATAATTTTTGTGAATAATGACGCATACTCACAAGTTTGGTATCATGACAGGTATCTGAATAATTGATAAGATCATATTAAAATTAAATACTAGAAATATGATATATACAGAATTGAAGCTTTTAGATCAAACCTAACAACATGGTAAAATAATGACCTAGAGTTTTTCCAGATTTTCCTCAATTCTCTAATAAATAATTCAAGAGGTGTTATTTTCTCCATTTACTTCAAATACCCATTGGTAAAATTGCTCCCACATTCTACCTCTTGGCCCCCACCCACAACCTCTCAAGAAGCTATTACATTATAAGTAAATATTAGGTGGTTAAAATTGTATTCATGCATATTTGCACAGTAGGCAGTTAAATCAGCTCCATTACTGTGTTCTATGAAACTACATAATTACAGACCCTTCAAAGTGCATATTATTAACTTGGTGCATGACTACCTCCAAGCAAACATGCTGTAGATGAGTTGAGTCAATATTCACATGGTATTTTTCAGCTTTCAGTCTTGGGAAGAAGTAAAATACAGAGGCTTCTGGGTATGTGGTAAGGAAGAGTTGAACATGAACTAAATTTTCCACATAATCATCTAAGATTTCAAATATCCACTTATCGATACTCTGTTTTATACCAATATATGTATCCAAAATATCCAATGATTTCCTGAATGTCATTGTGCATATGATATTTGATTTAATATATATGTATATGTGTATATTTATATATACACACATATATAAATGTACATATATACGTATATAAATATATGTACCCATACACATATGTATAAAATCAAATATCATATGCACAAAGACATTCAGAACATCACTGGATTTTATATATAGTAGCCAGGATTGGGATAAGCCAATTGACAAATGAGAATATAAGTTTATTTAGTTAAAATAGAAATATACGTTTCCAGTGCATCCAAATCTAAACCCACAATATCCACCTTGCTACTAAATGTGTTCCCCTAGGTTTCTAGAAAACCGGATTAGTCTGCATAGGATTTCTTGGGCATTCTAGAATAAGAGCAAAAAGATATGAATAGAGTTGGAGACTTTAGTGCAAACCTAGGTAAACCTTGGGAAACATCTTTGCCCCTCATTAGAGCACACATTTCTAATTTGCAGATTCTTCCCATACCCACAATTATGACTGCTCAGGTAACAGTAGGGACACACTCTTCCCTTCTTCTTTCTTATTTCCAGGTTGATCACCTTTGTTCAGATTGATGCATATTTGCTTCAGAAGCCTTGTAAGTTAGATTGTTTCTCCTATGGTCCCACCCTCTCCAGTTAAAAAATGGCTCTCTTCCCAAGAGATAGAGATAGACTGGTCATCTTCCCCACTTACCAATACCACATCCAGACCAGGACTATACCACAGACCACCCAGCTTGATCATTGCTGCACCCTTCTTATTCCTATTGTCCCTTTCCCTCTTTCACTGAAGAATGAGTACATTGTCTTCTTCACCCCAAGTTTTACCATCAATGTTGGCAACATCAATATCCACATGTATAGTTCATAAAACCACCTGGCCTCTGTCTATGACCTCATTTTCAGAAACTCACCTCCACCCCTCCTGAGCCACACACTCTCATGCTTGAGCCCACCATCAACAGAGCCTGCTCCATTTATGAACTATTGAATTAAAATGTCCCACTCTAATGACCATATTCTCCCATTCTATCTTCAACCTCCTGCCTCACTGATTCATTCATGTCCATGACACCACCCATGTAATAAAACCATAAGGCTAGATCAGCTTGGACAGCTTTTTTTTTTTTTTTTTTTTTTGACAGGATCTTGCTTTGTCACCAATTGTTGGGATGCAGTGGTGCAATCTTGGCTCTCTTGCAGGCTGAAACTCTTGGGCTCAAGCAATCATCCCACCTTAGCATCCTGAATAGCTGGGACTACAAGTGTAGGCCATCATGCCAGCTAATTAAAAAAAAAAGAAAAAATGTTGGAGAGAAAATGTCTCACTATTTGGCCCAGGCTGGTCTCAAATTCTTGGGCTCAAGGGATCCTCCTTCAACCTCCGAAAATGCAGGGATTACAGGCATGAGTCACCATGTTTGGCCATGTGTTTTCTTTATGTTCACAGTCCTGGACATAAAGGAATGACTAACTGACAGCACAGCCTGACTGCAGCTGATTGTTTCTGATAATCATGCTACCCATGCTCAAACACACAAAAACATGGCACGTGCAACTCTAAATGATTGTCCTTGAAACTCATTTGAGCCTTCAGCCCTTGTTTGACTCATATGCAGCTCTCTCTTTCCTTCTCTACTGGAGCCATTTCAATTTTTTTTATTTCTTCTCTCTGAACTTGACATTCATTCGTCTTACTTCAAAGACGAAATAAGTCCCATCAGGTGGGAACAACCCCCACTTCCAGTTGTCATTCTACATCCATACTTTGTAGACTGTTTCCTCTCTGCCTTGTTTGTTTGCTTTCCCTTGCTTCTGAATACTGTCCAACAGTATTGCATCATGTTGAAATCACTCCTCAATTAGTAATTAAGAAGGAAACAACCTACTCCAAGCACTGATAACCCCATTAAAATATTTCTATTTCCCTCTTCACTGAAGCCAAATTTTTCCTTCTCCTTTTCCTTTTCATTGAGGTGAAATTCAAATAGCATAAAATCAACCATTTTGAAGTGAACAAGTCAGTGGCTATTAGTACATAGACAATGTTGGACAACCATCATCTCTGTCTGTCTCCTAAATATTTTCATCATCTGAAAAGAAAACCACGTATCCAATAAACCGTTATTCCCTATTCTTTTCCCCAAGCCTCTAGCAACCACCGATCTGTTTTCTGTCTGTGTGCATTTACCTATTTGGATATCTCATATTACATCAAATCATACAATGCATGACCTTTTGTGTTTGGTTTCTTTTAGTTAACATAAGGTTTTCATAGTATATCCATATGGTAGTACATATCAATATTTTTTGTGACTGAATAATTTTCCATTGTGTGTGTGTGTGTATATATGTATATGTATATATATATATACACATGCATATACATATATACATTGTGACACATGGGAGCGTGAAGTAATTGAATCATGGGTATTTTCTGTGCTATTATTGTGATAGTAAATAAGTTTCATGAGATCTGATGGTTTTATAAAGAGGAGTTGCCCCTGCACAAGCTCTCTTGCCTGCCACCATGTAAGATGTGACTTTGCTCCTCCTTCACCTTCTGCCATGATTGTGATGCCTCCCCAGCCATGTGAAAGTGAGTCCATGAAGCCTGTTTTTCTTTATAAATTGCCCAGTCTTGGGTATGTCTTTATTACCAGCATGAGAACAGACTAATATAACATCCTAGAGAGTGTGACGTGATACCCTACTATAGTTTGGTAACTTAGGGGATCAGATTCTCTCCCTCCCCAGAGTTCACTGTTGTTGATATTTTATGGCTATAGATATCCATTTATTCAGTTACTTTTGCAAACTATTTTCACAAAGAAAGACTGTATTTCTTGTCATTTGTGGTCACTAAAGTTTCTGCTTTGTTATCTCAGTAGTCAGCCAGTGACCTAACAGAAATCAGAAATGTTCTTAAACTTTTCTTTCTTTCCCTTTCTTTCTTTCTTTCTTTCTTTCTTTCTTTCTTTCTTTCTTTCTTTCTTTCTTTCTTTCTTTCTTTCTTTTTCTTTCTTTCTTTCTCTTCTTTTTTGTTTTTTTTGACAGGGTCTCACTCTGTTGCCCAGACTGGAGTGTAGTGGTGTGATCAAGGCTCACAGGCATGCACCAGCACACCCATCATATTTGTTTTGTTTTGTGTAGAAATGGGGTCTTGCTGTGTTGCGCAGGAAGGGCTCAAACTTCTGGGCTCAAGCAATCCTCGTGTGTTGGCCTCCGAAAGTGCTTGGATTACAGGTGTGAGCCACCATGCTTGGCCAAAATGATTTTCTTCAAGGCTGCCTATGACTCTGCCCTAGTCTTTACCTCCTACTTGCATGGTGCCTACAGATCAGCCAGAGGTGGAAGCCTAGAGTCCTCTCACATCTGTTCTGAGCATGTTTTGGGTACTGGGCATTTTGTGTTTCACTCTGTCTTCTCTAGCATATGTGATGGCTCTTGGAACCCTCATTTTCTCATTAACCTTCTTCTGCCTCCTCCTTCCCAGACCTGGAGTTTTTGTCTATTGCTTATCCCATCTGATATCCCTTTTCCAAGTGCACATGGGATATGTATGTGTTTAAATCTTTTCACAGCCACTTCCAAAGTCTGAGTAGCGACTCCATCCCAAGTTGGAGGGGTGGAATGGTGATGAAACAATTGTCAGTCTCTGTACCATTCTCTCAGGGAACCACAAGACAGACCAAAATCCACAACCACAGTATTTTAGGGACAAGGTTTGTATTAATACCCTGGCATAAATAAGCTAACAAGCAGCATAGGCCACTTTCTCTGCAGCTGCCACTGCTGCAGCCCCACAACACTAGAGAATGGGGAATGGTATTCAGGTGGGGGAAATGTCACAATGCTCTCTCACTGAATTTCAGCTGCCCTTTAATGGATTTGACTCAACTTTGATTTGACTCAACTTTGATTTGACTATCTCATGGACTTTCCAAGATTTTACTTTTGCAACACAGCTATTTTCTGGGTAGTTTTTCCAAAGAGTTGAATTTACAAGGATTCTATTAGGATTATTATATCTACAGATTTACTATCCCCATTTACTCTCTGTTCCTCTTTCTCATTCAATCCCCGTTGCTATGGTCTTAATGTTTGTGTCCCCTCCTAATTTATATATGGGAACCTAATCACCAATGCAGTGGCACTAGAAGATGGGGCCATGGAGAGCTAATTAGGTCTTGAGAGTGAAGTACTCTTGAATGGGATCAGTGCCCTTATAAAAGAGGCCCCAGAGAGCTAGCTAACCCCTTCCACCATGTGAGGACACAGCTAGAAGTTGGCAATTTGAAAGGGAAAGGAGAGCCCTCACCTGAATCCAAGCATGCTGGGACCCCAGTCATGGACTTCTAAGCTTCCAGAACTGTAAGAAACAAATTTATGTTGTTTATAATCTTACTAGGTTATGCTATTTTGCTACAGCAGCCCAAACAGATAAAGACACTTATCATTGTCTCCATTAATTACTTCCATCCATGAGGATGCTAGATCAAAGCCAATCACACCATGTATTTTGAAAAGTTGTTGCCTGTATATATTGGCATTTATATTCATTTCTTTTTGGCTTCTAATGCTAAGATTTCTTTTTTTTTCTTCCTTGCTTCTTTATTTTTCTTTTTGCCTTGAGAGTATGTTGGGAATAGTACAGTGAGTGAGTTCTGTCATACTTAACTTTTGAAAAAAGAACAAGAGGCTCAGTGGTCTAACTGTATATCATCTCATTACTTAAACCTTCAACTTCTCAACAGAAAGAAAGATAAATATTGCAAAAGAGATTTATCATTGTTTGAGTAAAGGCTTGAGTAAAGACTCATGATTATAGAACAAGAATTACCATAAAGGAAACTACCCACTAAAAACCAGATTGCTTGAACCTTGCACTATTACTTTTTTCAAAAAGCAAGTATCTTTATTTATGGATCTCAAAGATGTGCTCTTCTCTCCCTGGAGTCCATTCTTGACCATACTGATGACTAGAATGCTGTCTAGACATCAGACTCTCACCCATCATTCTGGTCATTTTGTTGACCCGTTCTCTGCCATCATAGTAGTCTCTCCCTGCTCTGCTCTTTTTCTCATCACTCTAATATGTAACATAGGCACTAGGGAACCCTGATTTCAGATTCGTTCACTGCTGGAACACTGGGAAAGCCTCATTTCCATGGTAAGCATCTTGGATTGCTCCAAGACAGGATTTATTTTTAACGTTCCACATTGCACATTGTTGGCTCTCCAATATCTTCTGGCAATAAGATGCCAACAAGACAAAACACATGAAAAAGAAGAAAAACACCCAAACATTTTCTTTCCCCCTTTCCATGTTCTCCCCAAGCCAAGTTTGGAATGGCTTAAAGAGTGTTTTTTCCTCTTCCTTTTTTCTTTGCCTAGAACTGGCTGCTGTGAGGCATCTTTTTGGATTCAGACATTTTCCTGTCGGCTTGCCCTGGGGTACCTACCATTGAAGTCTAATACATTTTACTTATTCAAGATTACACTGCCTAAGGGAGAAGCAGCTCTCTGGTTGAAGAACAACAGGCTCTACATTTTAAGGATTCTGTATTGAGTGTAATTAGACACATACCTTTGGATTTATGGCTCTGCTAAGTCTTTAACCCATTCTGATCATCTCCAAGGCCACAAAAATAAAAATGTCAAATGTATGTATAGTGGTTTGTCACTGTGTAAGGTGAATCACTAGAAGTAGAAGGCAAGTGTTTGGTCTTTGGAGATGGTCATGAGCAACAAACCAAAAGTTTCTGCTAAAAGTCTTGAGTTTTTCCTTGAAGAGAATTGCTCCCTGGAGAAAGAGTCTAAGTATACAATTCATCAAGATTACCATTGAGTCACTTCTCCTTTGTTTCCCCTTTTCTTTCATCATGGCAGACATCTGCAGTCATACGTATGCGAATATTTGCAATGCATCTTTCCCCACTTCAAACATCTCAGGTCATTATCACAAAAGAAGTTGTGTTTTGTGGATGAATTTTTCCCAAGAAATAGTGCATGGGCCATTGATTCACTCCACAGTTTTACTCCAGTCTCAAAGTATGTGTGGGCTTTAAAATGAAAGTATATAGAATACGGTTTACCTCCATCATTCTCAGCAAACTATTGCAAGGACAAAAAACCAAACACCGCATGTTCTCACTCATAGGTGGGAATTGAACAATGAGAACACATGGACACAGGAAGGGGAACATCACACATCGGGGACTGTTGTGGGATGGGGGGATGGGGGAGGGATAGCATTAGGAGATAAACCTAATGCTAAATTACGAGTTAATGGGTGCAGCACACCAACATGGCACATGTATCCATATGTAACAAACCTGCACGTTGTGCACATGTACCCTAAAACTTAAAGTATAATAATTATAATATTAAAAAAAAAGAAACATTTCAAAAGAGCTTCACCTGTGAGTTACACAAAGACGATGTTGACACATCGTCTTTGTGGAGTCCACCAGTATAGAAAGCTTTTTAACTTTCTTTGACCTATCTACTACTGAATGTTTTCTTAAAAATATCATGCTACTGTAATTGTGGTCAGGAGATGAGTGCTAGCATACAAACTATTTGTAACACACCCATGAACAAAGAAGATTAAAAGTACATTCTCGAATTTTAAATTGATTACAGAGCAGTAACCACTATTGGTACTGAATCCTGGACCGCATGATGAGTAGCACTGTCTCACAGGCCCTAGTACTAGCCCCAGGAACACATAACACATTGGCACAGATTTAGAAAACAAATATCTGATGTCTATAAATGTGTGTATGTGTTTAAATAGCTTCTCAAATAAATTTAGAATCAAAAGGTTCTATAATCTGGGGACTTCTACTTTTGAGAAGATGGAGTAGACATATTTTTCCCTATTCTTCCCACTAAGTACAAATAAAAACCTTGGACATATATATACATAAAACTTAAGGTGACTCTGAAAGTTATAGAGAAGAAGGGAGGCTAGCTAGGGAGCTTGAGGTCCAAGGAAGCGCATGGTAGTGAGTCTTCTGTGTTTTCTTTGGCCTCATGAATCTCAGGCAGGGTGCTGGGTGCTGGAGAAGCCAGCAACCCAAAAACATTAACAGGCACAGACAAAGAAATCTCCAGGCTCACATGGTTTCACTAGGGAACTTCACCAAGCATTTAAAAAGAAATCAACACCAACTAACAATGAGCATGTTGGACACTGAAATTAAGAATCCAACGCCACTTGTAATTGCTTTAAAAGAGAATAATGTATGTGTAAGTCTGACAAAACATATACCAAACGTATATGCTGAAAACAATACAATGCTGATTAAATAAATCAAAGGAGACCTAAAAAAAGGAAAAAAAAAAAGAATACAGTTTACCTGTTTTCCTTCTCTGTAAAAAGGAAGAAGAAATAAAGTAAGTTCCACTTACTTTAAAAAATTAGCTAGTCGGGGATAAGTATGAAAAGATGGAGGTGCTTATGTAGAACTTAACTGAGACTTCGAGTTAGAAAGTGAGTTGTCAGAGACTGAGAAGTAAAATTTAGTTGAGACTATAATGCTGGGAGAACATCCTCTTTGTGTTTCCAACAGATTCCAGGAATCTAGAAACATAAAATCCCCTCTAATTTTTTTAAGCATCAAAGACAAAAGCAAACCAAACAAATCTGTGTATCACATAAACAAACACAACAGTAAAATTGTTGTACATTGTATGAGCATTGCTAAATAATTTCCTCTATTAAAAATGATGAAAAAGTCCTGCTCTGATTTATTTGAGATTACCATGTGGAGATGTTGGGGACAATTTTAGTGAGCCCCTTTAGAGCCAGTCTGATGTAAGAAGATCATGAGCCAACATTCACAGGCTACACAAAGGAAAGATTTATTAGGCAGCCAGAAATCCAGACATCTAGCAGGTTTGGCATTATTCTGCTCACCACAGTAGAAATTACCCAAGACTTCGTTAATGCTTGCTTGGTTGCAAATGTCTTACTGCTGCTTATACAGTGCTCCTTGGGCAGTGATTTTCATTTGGAAGAGCTATTGACAATACGTATTTTTTTTTTTCTAAAAAAGAATAAACGGCCAAACAATATGCTCATCACCAAGTAACAATGATTACAGCCAAAGCAAAATAAAGGGATTAAAAATCGTCTGATAGCCACTTATTTTTTTGGCTAAGAGAGTTCCTTCCATAGACATTTATAGGTAGAGTCTTTATACCTTTGCCATAACTGTCTTTTAATTATTTTATTCCAGAAAGCACCAATTACATTTGCTGTATCTTAGAAAATTATTCCTAGTCCCCAATGCTGAGTAGTTGTACTTTCTTGACTAAGAATTATTAGTAGAATGAAGACATAAGAGTGTACTCATCTCCATCTTCTTGCTCTTGAAGGCATTGAGTACACTTCAAAGATCCCAGCTCAAGTGCTAGGGATAATCCATAACCTTAGCAAGATCAAGCTCAGTTTCTATTTCTTAATCTCCATTTACAGTGTGGCACCAGTCTCTGTATTGCCAGGTTTACACTGAG